>NW_021160023.1:300000-519485 GCF_000001405.40 Homo sapiens
AATAAGTCAGCCTCCTTCTTGTAAGCATAGCCCATGCAGAAAAGGAGAGTCGCATCACCTCGGTGCTGGATCCAGAGGTATGTCACAATTTATCCCATGCACAAAGTTAAGGTCATTGAGGAGAGTCATATTAAATAATTTCTGGGTCCAGGGATTTGTCACAACAGCTCCTGTGAGAAGAGATCAGGCAGCATAATCACATAACCGGTGTGCTGGACACAGCGATAAGCCACCTTTCATCTGTGGGCATGACCCAGGCAAGAAAGAAGAGTCACGGCATTTAGGTGCTTGCTGCAGAGGTACGTAACAATCTCTCTTATGGGCAAAGCTCAGGTAAGAGAGAAGAGTCAAATCTCCAAGGTGATTCATGTAGAAATTTGTCACAAGAGACTTTTTAGGCAGGGCCCATGTTGGATCTTCTTATCTTCCAGAAGTTAGGTACAGGGATATGTCAGAATACCCAAAATACACAGGGCTCAGTCAATAAAGAAGAGCCACATCACCCAGGTGCTGGGTCTAGACATATGTCACATCTCTTTTATGGGGAAAGCTCAGGTAAAAAAGGAAGGTCATATCAAATAGTTGATAGACCCAGAGATATGTCACATTGCCTCCTGCTTGAAGTGTCTAGGCCAAAGACTCACATCACATTGGTGCTAGGCCTGTGTTCATATATAAACATTCAACCAGAGTTGAAATGGTGGCTCGTTTCTAAACCCAGCTTATAGGCAAGGGATGAGTCTCCTATCCTGACATAGTTAATTGTAATGATGTTGACTCTCATCCCTGGGCTTAATGTTACAAGTATGATCATGGGTCCCTACCATTAGGAAGGTCTCAAAGTTGATTACGACTCTCATTCATACAGTATAGGGCCATTGGGTAGTACACAGAGCGTGCTAACTGGGCCGAGCACACAGGTGAGATTGTGACACTCATATGCATACCCAGCCAACAGTAACTATTGTCATCCTCTCACGGGAACACAAGTCAGTCTGCAGAGGAATTGAGGCTCTCATGCGCAAATCCAGTCTGGTGTTGAGATGGTTATTCGTGGGCTTAGACCCAACATACAGGAGGTGTTGAATGTCATGCCTACCACTGAGACAGCTGTGCGATTGTTAATCTAATTCCTGGACCATTCTGCAGCTTCCATTGTCAAATTTCCCAGTGCCTAGCACCTAAGTGACTTGACGGGCTCGCATGGACCCAGCCCACAGATGGGATATTAACATATTGCTGGATCCAGCACATTGAGGATGTAACTCTATTCTCCTTCGTTGGCACTGCCCACAGTGAGCAGTTTGACATATCGCTAGACCTTACACCCAGGTGATGTGAGTCTCCTCTTCTGCCTTGGCGCTGCCCTCAGGAAGCGTTGTTATATATAGCTTGGCCTCGCATCCAGGTTATGTGACTCTCCGGCTTGTGCACTGCCCATATGGGACACTGTGTTAATATTGCTGGGTCCACTACTCAGGTGATGTAACCCAACTGCCTGGGCCCTGCCTTACAGGGGCATTGTGACATATCTCTGTGCTCATCAGCCAGGTGATGTGATTCTCTTCTCCTGCCTGGTCCCTTTACACAGAAGGGATTGTGACACGTTGCTGGGCTTAGCACCAAGTTGATGTTGATGTGAATCTTCTGCCTGGATCGAGTTCACAGAAGGCATCGTGACATACCTCTGCGTGCATCACCTATTTGATGAGACTCTCCTCTCTTACCTGAGCATTGCCCATAAGAGAGATTGTGACATATCCCTGGGTCTAGCACTGGGATGATGTGAATTCTCTCTGCCTGGGTCATGCCCACAGAAGGAAGTGTGACTTATAACTGGGAACAGCACAGGGGTGATGTGATTCTTCTGCCTGGTCCCTACCTACAGGAGTCATTGTCAAATGCCTCTGGGCCCATCATCTAGACTATGTGACACTCTACTTCTTCCTAGGGCCTGCTCACATAAGGATTGTGACATATTACATGCCCTACATCATGTGACTTTTCTCTCATGTCTGGGCTCCGTCTTGGAGATGAATGTGACACATACCTAGGCCTGTTCCCTAGGTTCTGTAACTTCTCGTTTTTCAAAATCCTACCCACCAGGGGCATTGAAACATCTCTGTGGGCACTTCACTTAGGTAATGTTACCCTGTTGCCTGGAGCCTCCCCTCTGGGGGGTATGGTGACATATTGCTGGACACAGTACCTATGTGATATTCTCTCCTTTCTTGCCTGGGCCTTGTATACATTATGTATTCTAATATACGGCTGGGTTTAATGACTAGGTGATGCAACTCTTATGCATAGACCCTACCCACAGGGACATTATGACATTTCTTTAGCTCTGACTCTCCTCTTTTTCCTTAGCCCTGCCAAAAAGGGAGGTGGTGACATATAACTGGACCTAGCAACCAGCTAATATGAGTCTCCTCTTTTGCCTGCACCCAGCATATTTTAGGTGTTGTATCATATCCTTTGTCTCAACACCTGCAGGATGAAATGCTCCTGCCTGAGCCCAGCCATCTGTCAAAATTGTCATTCTCCCACACGAACATGGACCATAATTGAGGTTCTGAAACTCACACCCAGAGGCAGTCAAAAGTTGGAAAATTGGCTCTTAAAAGTGGATATTGTCTGCCAGTGGGTTTGTGACTCCCTGACCAAGATCCAAAACACTTGTGAGGCTGTGAGTCCACTAAGATAACTCCGTTTTCAAAAGGGATTAAGGCTCTCATGGAAAAAACCCATTCCTCCATTGAGATTGTGACTTATGCACATAGATACAACGTACAGGAGGCGTTCACTCTCATACCCAGAACCGGAACTTATGTGGGATTGTTAATCTCATCCATGGACCTTCCTGCAGGTGTGATTCTGACATACACCTCTAGCCAGCACCTGAGTGATTTGACATTTTTGCCTGGGTGTAGCCCACAGATGAGATTGTGATATATCTCTGAATCAAGCATCTAATTAATATGCTTCTATTCTCCTGTCTTGGCACTGCCCATAATGGGTATCCTGACCTAACACTGGTCCTGGCACTTTGTTATGTGACTCTGTCCTGTGCTTTGCCCACATGAGCCATTGTGACATATTGCTGGGTCCAACACCCAGGTGATGTAACTCTTGTCTAGACTTTGCCTACAGGGGGCATAGTGACATATCTCTACACTGACCACCCAGGTGATGGGACTCACTTCTCCTGACTGCTACCTGTTTATAGCAGGGATTGTTACAAATCGTTGCGGGCAGACTCTAGGTAATGTGACTGTCTTTTTACAGAGCGCTACCCACAGGAGCCATTGCAAAATATCTGTGGGCCTCTCACTCTTTGCCTGGGCTCATTTCTCAGGGGTATTGTGACATATGGCTGACCTCAGCACCGAGGTGAACTGAGTTTCTTCTACTGTAGGGCTCTGACCAAAGAGAGATTACAATGTATCACCGGGCCCAGCAAGTGAGCTATTTGACTCTCCGCTCTTGGCTGCACCCTACATTTATTGTGTATTGTGACATATCACTGGGTCCAACACGTAGGTAATGTGACTCACCTGCATGGGCCATTTCCCCATGGGTACTATGAAGTATCTTTTTGTTCATCACTTAGGTGATGCAACTCTCCTCTTTGCCTTGGGCCCCACATAATTTAGCTATTGTGATGTATCACTGGGCCAATCACCTAGTCAATAGGAAGCTTCTGCCAAGACCCTGACTACTGAGGGCCTTGTGACATAGCTCTGCATTTATCACCTAGAAAATATGATCCCCCCCCATTTCTGCCTGAACCCTGCTCACAAGAAAAATTGTAGCATACTTCTGGGCCCAGCAAACAGGTGATGTGTTTCACCTGCCTGTGCTTAGTTCACAGGGAAAATTGTGACATATCACTGGGCCCAGAACCCAGGTGAGGTGACTCTGCTGCATGTGTCGTGCTTTCAGGAGAGAACAAGAACATATCCCTGGCAGAACTCTTAGGGATGTGACTCTCTTGCCTTGTCCCTGTCCTCAGGGAAGACTGCAACATGTCCCTGACACAGACCCAGGTGATGAGACTCTCCTGCTTCTGACTACCCAAATGTGAGATTGTCACATATATTTTGGCCTAGCATGTAGGTGTGATGATGACATTCATACCTTAAACCAACCAATAGCAGAGATACTTTCTCTCACAGCCAGGCTTAACAAAACTTGCAAAATTATGGGTCTTCTCTTACTATGAAGGTCAGAGAAAGTAAGCACTCTTGCATATCCTATAAAGCACTCAGATGGTACAGTGTCATCACAGGGCCCAGAACACAGGTGAGATTGTGTTCTCTGTGTGCACACCCACCAATCATCAGAATTGTCATTCCTACACAGGAACAGAGGTGATTAGGGAGGTCTAAACCTCATACCTGAATGCCGTCCACAGCGGGAATTGTAACTATCACATGTGAACATCCAGTCACAGTTGGGATAGTGACTTATTTCTGAACCCAGTTTACAGCCAAGTAAAGATCCTCTTATCTGGATCCAGCCAGCTGGAGAGATGTTGACTCTCATACCTGGACTTATGGCCACAGGTATGATCATAGGTTCATATCAGCATGAAGACCTCAGAGTGGATTATGTTTAATGCATACTCTACAAGGTCCACAGGAGGTACATAGTGTCCTAACAGGGCCCAGCAAACAGGTGAGATTCTAACACTCATGCACACTCTGGTGACAATAAAAGTTACCATCCTCAAAAATGGGCACAACCGGCATGGCTCAGTGGCTCACGCCTGTAATCGCAGCACTTTGGGAAGCCGAGGCGGACAGATCATGAGATCAGGAGATCAAGACCATCCTGGCCAACATGGTGAAACCACTTCTCTCTACTATTTATGATTATGATTATGATTATGATTATGATTATGATTATTATTTTGAGACAGAGTCTTGCTCTGTCACCCAGACTGGAGTGCAGTGGCACCATCTAGGCTTACTGCAACATCCGCCTCCCTGGTTCAAACAATTCTCTTGTTTCAGCTTCCCGAGTAGCAGGGACTACAGGCTCATGCCACCATTCCCAGCTAATTTTTGTATTTTTAGTGGAGACGGGGTTTCACCATATTAATTAGGCTGGTCTCAAACTCCTGACCTCAGGTGATCCACCCACCTCGACCTCCCAAAGTGCTGGGATTACAGGCATGGGACACTGTGCCTGGCCACCCCATCTCTACTAAAAATACAAAAATTAGCTGAGCGTCGTGGCACGTACCTGCAATCCCAGCTACTCGGGAAGCTGAGGCAAGAGAGTTGCTTGAACCCAGGAGGCAGAGGTTGCAGAGAGCCGAGATCGCCCCACTGCACTCCAGCCTGGCGATAGAGTGAGACTCCGTCTCAAGGGACCAAAAGAAGAAAGAAAGAAAGAAAGAAAGAAAGAAAGAAAGAAAGAAAGAAAGAAAGAAAGAAAGAAAGAAAGAAAGAAAGAGAGAGAGAGAGAGAGAAAGAAGGAAGGAAGGAAGGAAGGAAGGAAGGAAGGAAGGAAGGAAGGAAAAGAAAGAAAGAAAGAGAAAGAAAGAAAGGAAAAGAAAGAATTAAAGAAGAAAGAAAGAGAAAGAAAGAAGAAAGAAAGAAGAAAGAAGGAAGGAAGAAAGAAAGAAAGAAAAAGAAAGAAAGAAAAAAGAAAGAAAGAAGAAAGAAGAAAGAAAGAAAGAAAGAAAGAAAGAAAGAAAGAAAGAAAAGAAAGAAAGAAAGAAAGAAAGAAAGAAAGAAAGAAAGAAAGAAAGAAAGAAAGAAAGAGAAAATTGACTCTCATATATGGATCTTGTCCACAGGTAGGTGGGTGACTCTCAAACCAAAATTCATTACATCTGTGAGACTGTAACTCTCCTAAGGGGAGAAGTTCTTCTCAGCCAGAGAAGACTCATTTATGAATCCAGTTCACTGTTGAGATTGGGACTGTTGTACCTAGGCCAAACATACAAATTCTCATACCTGGAATCCGGACATGTGTGGAGTTGTTCATCTCATCCCTGTCGCTTTCTGCAGGTGGGATTGTGACATACATCTCTGCCCAGCTCCTGAGTGTTTTAGCTCTGTTTCCTGTGTCCAGCTCACAGATGGGATTCTGATATATCACTGAAGCCAGCACCTAGATGATGTGACTCTTATCTCCTGCCTTGGTGCTGCCCACAGGGGACATTGGGACATATCACTTGGCCTTGCACCTAGGTAATGTATGTTTTCTGTCTTGCATTAGTGCTACTCACAGGGGTGTTGTGATGTATTGCTGAGTCCCACATCCATGTTATGTGACTCTTCTGCCTGTGCCCAGTCCACAATGGCCATTTTGACATATTGTTGCATCCAAAACCTAGATGATTTACCTCTCCTTCCTGAGCTTTGCCTAAGGGGACATTGTGAAATATCTATGAGCCCATCACCCATGTGGTGTGATTTTCTTCTCCTGCCTAGTCCCTGCTTAAAGAAAGGATTGTGACATATCACTGTGCCCAGCACCTAGCTCATGTTACTCTTCTTTTGTTTTTTAGGATTTGTTTGGAAGGAGATTGTGATACATTGGTGGGTCCAACTTCTCGGTGACATTACTCTGTTGACTTTGCTCTGCAAGCAGAAAGCACTGTGACACATTATTGGGCCCAACACCAAGGTGAGTCTCCTGCCTGAAGCCTGCCTACAGCAATTTGTAACATATGGCATTGGGACATATCTCTGAGCCCATCAACTATTTGACAAGATTCTCCTTTTTTAACAAAGGCTTTGCCCATAGGAGAGATTCTGACATAATTCTGAGCCCAGAAAATAGGGGATATTTCTTTTGTTTTCTGCTTGAGCCCCACATTGTGATGTATTTCTCCTCCCAACAACTGAGGGAAGGGAAAGTCCTGCCTGGGTCTTGCCTACAGGGAGCCTTGTGAAATCTTTCCGCGTTCATCACCTTAAATATGTGACCCTCATCTTCTGCCGTGGCCATGTTTACAGAAGGGAGAGTGGGTTATTCCTAGACCCAGCACACAGGTCATGTGATTCTGCAACCTGGTGTCTCCAGAGGGGTCATTTTGACATATCTCTAGACTCATCAACTAGATAATGTAATGCTCCTCTTCCCCCTGAAACCTATCCATAGTGGAGATTGTGAAATACAGCCTGGCACAGCACCTACATGATGGTACTCTCTTCTCATGCTTGGGTGCTGCCCACAGGGGTGATTGAAACTTATAGCTGGGTACAGTCTTCAGGTGATGTAACTCTCCTCTATTTTTGGGCCCACACACACAGGGCACTACCATATAGCTCTGCTCCTCAGACCTAGGTGATGTGACTCTGCTGTCTGTTACCTCCTCTTAGGGGGAATTGTGATATATTGCTGGGCCCAGAACGGAGGTGATGTGGCCTTTTCTCTTGCCTGGGCCCTGCATACATGGTGTACAGTAACATATATCTGGGTTGAACACATAGGTGATGTGACTCTTCTGCATAGGTCTTGCCAACAGGGGTATTATGACATACTCTTCTATTCATTGCCTAGGCGATGTGACTCTCCACTCTTACCTGGGCCCTTCCAAAAGAGGGGATTGTGACATATCACTGACCCTAACACCAAGGTAATGTGACTGTTCTCTTTTGCCTGGGTTTGCATATTTTGGGTATTGTGACATATCCCTGGGCCCAACACTTAGGGAATAAGAGGTTTATTCCTCTACCTTACGTGCAGTGAAGCTTGTGACATATTTCTGCATTCATCACCAAGAAGATGTGACTCTTCTGCCTGCATCCTGACCACAGAGAGGATTGTGAAATATTGCTAGATCCAGCATGCAGGTGATGTGTCTCTGCTGCCTGGTTCCTAATGTGAGGAGTGGATTGCAACATACCAATGCCTGAACATTCAGGTAATGTGACTGTTGCCTGGTCCCTGTCCTCAGGGAAGCGACATATCACTGGCCCAGCGTCCAACTGATTTTACTCTCCTGCTCTCTTCCTATATGCAGGTGTAATTGTGACATATATCTTGGAACACAACACACAGGTGCAATGATGACATTCATATGTCAAACCAGCCAATAGAAGAGATACTGCTTCTCCTAGCTACACTTAGGGAAATGAAAAAAAACCCTGGGTCTCCTCGCTAAGATCATCCACTCTCTCATATATTACAGAAAGCCCTCGGGTAGTAGAGAGTCTTATCACAGGGCCCAGCACACAGGTGAAATTTGTTACTCCTATGCGCACCCTGCACCCTCCTGACCATTATGATTTTCACCCTCACATATAAACAGAACCCACTGGTGAGGTCCTGAATTTCACACATGAATGCAGTTTATAGTTGGAATTGCGAATCTCATATGTAAAGATCTGGCCAGAGTTGGAATGGGAACTTCGTTATAAACCCAGCGCATAGAAAGCTGATGATTCTCTTATCCGGACCCCGCCAATTGTAAAGATGTTGACTCATATATAGGCTTAGGGCCACAGGTTTGATCATGGGTCCATACCAGCATGAAAATCTCTGAAAGAATTGAGACTGTCATGCATACAACATAAAGCCGTCAGGTGCAACACAGAAAGTCCTAATAGGGCTCAGCACACAGTAATATAATGACATTGGGATGCACACCCAGCCAACATTAAAGATTGTCGTTCTTTCACATGATCATAGTTCACTTTTGAGGCTCTGAATCCCATACCCAAAGGCAGATTGAAAAGTTGAAAAATTGACTCTCATATTTGAGAGTCACAGATGTGTTGATGACTCTCAGATCATGAGTCAGCACACCTAGGAAGCTGTGATTTCAATTAGGGGACAAAGTACGCAAGAGAAAATGGGGCTGCCATGCACAAATTTAGTCCACTATTGAGATAGTGACTTGTGTACTTAGATCAAACATACAGAAGGTGTTCACTCTCATGCGTAAAACCAGAATATGTGCGGGATTCATCCCATATCTGGACTTTCCTGCAGGTGTCATTGTGACAAGCATACACATTTGTCCAGCACCTGAGTGATTAGACTCTTCTGTTTAAGCCCAGCTCACAAATAAAATTGGGACATATCATTGGACCTAGAACATAGGTGATGTGGCTCTATTCTCTTGCCTTTGTGCTGCCCACAGGGAGCATTGTAACGTATCACTGAACTTAACACCTAGGAGATTAGAGGCTCCTGCCTGAACTCTGTCCACAGTGAGCCTTGTAGCATATTTCTGCTTCCAACACCAGATGATGTGACTCTCCTTTCTGCCTGCACCTTGCCCACAGGAAAGATTCTGACATATCACTAGGCCCAGTAATCAGTAATCAGGTGATGTTTCTCTCCTGCCATGGCCTTGCCCACAGGGAGTGTGGTGACATATCACTGAGCTCAATATTCAGGTGATTTGACTCTGCTGCTTGTACTCTGATTTCAGGAGGGGATTGTAACATATCCCCTGTGAGCACACAAGTGATGGGACTCCCCTCCTAGCCTCTGACCTCAGAAAACATTGTTACATATCCCTGGCCCAGCCTTAGGTATGTGACTCTCCTACCTGTTCCCTGCCATCAGGGAAGATATTGACAGATCTCAGGCCAAGCATCCCGGTGACGTGACTCTCTTGCTCACTCCCTACCCACAGAAGAGATTGAAACATATATCTTGGCCAGCTCACAGGTGTAATAATGACTCTCATACCTCAAACCTGCCACTAAGAGAAATGCTGTTTTTCATAGGGAGGCTTTGGAAAACCGGTAGGTCTTAACTCTTCCTTTTGTATGAAGGACTTAGAGGAATACAACTCTCTCATATTATATAAAGCTCTTAAATGGTACAAAGAGTGTTATCACAGGGATATGTTGCATAACCTAGGGGAGGGGCCCAGTTATATGTCACAATTAGCCCAGGGGGCAGGGCACAGGCATGAAAAGAGAGTCACACCACATATGTGCTGGCCTAAGTGATACATCATCATCCCCACTGTGGACAGGTCGCAGTAAGAACAGGAGAGTCACATCATTCTTATAATGGTCTCAGAGATACATCACAATGACTCCCCTGGGCAGAAACAAGGGATAAGGTTCACATCACCTGTGGGCTAGGCCCAGAGATGTCACTCTTACTTCTGTGGGCATGTCTCAGGCTGGAGAGGAGAATCACATTACCTAAGCACTGGACCAAGAAATACGTCACAGTCTTTCTCATGGGCAAAGTCCAGGTAAGAGAATAGAGCCACATCAAATAGTTCATGGGCTCAGAGATATGTCACAATGCTCCCTGTGGGCAGGGTTCAGGTAGGACAATCACATTACCTTGGTGCTTGTTCAGCAATATATCCCAAAACCTTCTGAGGGCAGAGCCAAGACAAAAGAGTAAAATCATTTTGGTGTTTTACAAATCGATATGTCACAATCTCCCCCGAGGGCAGAACCTGAAAAAAGGGAAGAGTCACATTAGCTAAATGCTGCGCCGGGTGATAAGTCACAATTCACCCTGTAGGCAGAGACTAGACAGAAGATAGAGTCACATCATCTAGTGGCTGGTGCAGAGATATGCCACCATGCCCTCTCTAGGCAGAGTTCAGACAGGAGAGTTATGTCACCTGTGTTTTGGACCCAGAAATATGTCACAAAAGCCCATGGACAGAGCACAGGAAAGACAGGCACATAACCTGAATATCAGCTTCAGTGGTATGACCCAATGCCTCCTGTGAGCGTTCCAAGGCAGGAGAGGAGACTCACATTACCTGTGTGCAAGGCCCAGTGATACGTCACACGGAGGAGTACCACTGTCTTGCATATTGTGTAAACTATGGTAGAGAAATTGTCACCACAGGGCTCGCCACACTGGTGAGATTATACTTCTCAGATGCACACCACACCAATATTCAGGATGGTCTCTATCACACGTGGAGAGAGCCCACTCTTGAGGTCCTGAATTACACATGCAGACACAGTCCACAACTGGGATTGTGACTTTCATATGTGAACATCCAGCCACAGGTGGGATGGTGACTCATTTTTAAACGCCGCTCATAGGCAGTTAAGAACTCTTATTTGGACCCATCCAAGTAGAAAGATGTTGACTGTCATACCAGGGCTTAAAGCTAAAGGTACAAGGAGGGGTCCGTGCCTGCTTAAGGTTTCAGAGAGAATTGTTACACTCATGCATACTCTATAAAGGCTGCATATGGTGAAGAGAGTGTCCTGACAGGGCCCAGAACAAAAGTAGATTGTGACACTCATATCTACGCTGAGCCAAGAGTAAAAATTGTCATCTTTTCACATGAACACAGCCCATTGTTGAGGTTCCAAATCTCACACCTGGAGGCGGTTGAGAGATGAATAATTGACTCTCATAAGTGGATGCGATCCATGTTTGAGTCAGTGACTCTAAAACCAACATTCAGCAAACACGTGAGGCTGTGACTCCATTAAGGGGCCACGGTCCTCGGGAAAGACTGAAGCTGCCATGCACAGATCCAGTGCACCATTGAGACTGTGACTTCTACACTTAGACCCAACAAACAGAATGTGTTTGCTCTCACACCTAGATATGGGACATGTGCAGGATTGTCAGTCTCAACCCTGGACTTTCCTGGAGGTATAACTGTGAAATATATCTCGGCCCAGCTCGTGAGTGACTTGACTCTTCTGCGTAGCCCAGCCCATGATAAAATTGTGACATTATTGAACCCAGCACCTATGACCCCCCTCTTCTGCCTGGGTCCTGTCAAAAAGAGAGATTGTAACAAATCACTGGGACAAGCACCCACATGATGTGACTCTCCTCTTTTCCCTGGGCCCTGCATATTTTGTATATTGTGACATACTGCTGGGCATAATACCTAGGGAATTGATGGCTACTGCCTGAGCCCTGTTCACAGGGGGCCTTGGGACATCTCTCTGCATTCACCACCTAAAAAAAGTGTGTGCACCCTGCCTACAAAGAAGATTGTAGCAGATCACTTGTCTTAGCAACCAAGTGATGCGAGTCTCCTGTCCTGCCTTGGTGCTGCTCACAGGGGACATTATAACATATACTTGGTGCTGCACCCATGTTTTGTAATTTTTCTGCCAGGGGTCTACCATATAAGCTATATTGCTGGGTCCAACACCCAGGTTATGCAGCTCTCCTTTCTGTGCTCTGCCTACAGGGGACATTGTGACTTATCTCTGCACCCATCACTCAGGTGATGTGACTTGCTTCTGCTGACTGATTCCTGTTCAAGTGGAGATTGTGACATATCAATGGGGGCACCATCTAGCTGATGTAACTATTCTCTTCTGCCTAGGTTCTTCCTGCAGTGGAAATTGTGATGTATCACTGGGCTTAACACCAAAGTGACATTAATTTTTTGCCTTGGTTCTTCCCTCAGAAGACATTGTAATATATTGCTGGGCTCAGCACCAAAACGATGTGGATTTCCTGTCTGGACCCTGCATACAGGAGTCCCTGTGACATATCTCTTGACTCATCAACTATTTGATGTGACTCTCCTCTGTTCCCTGAGCTTTGCCTATAGGAAAGCGTCAGCCTGGACTCCAGAGTCAGCCACCCACCCCTGCACAGACAAGGAGAGGTCTCATTAAGCTTCAGCACAGTCTGGGACCATAGCTTTTTTTGTAACGATTTGTTCGGCATGAGGCCAACTCACAAGGGCCCTTCGTGACTGGACTCAAGGAAAACGAAAAGGCCTACTTGTTTTTGCGATTTTCTGTTGTTTTTCAATAACTATTTCTCAGAAACAGTGCTGGATGAATTCCACAAGGGGTTCACACAACCTGTTCCAGGACTTAGTGACCATTGTTTCTGTCCATGTTCATTGAGTTCAAATTTAATATTTAACTTTTCCTCCTCATTCAGCCTCAATTTGACACTGAATCATAGGAAAATATTTTTACAGTTATAAGGGGAAGTCACAACTGGTATAGATTACAGATAGAGCAGAGGAGAATTAAAAGCACAATTAATAGAAACCACACCCACCACGGCCAACGCCAATGCTAGTTTGACAGCCAGTCCATGATGGGGTCCTGATGGTTAGATTCTAACTGTTTTACTTGTCCTTGCATGTCTTCGGCAAGGAGAGTAATACTGCGAGAACTGTCAGGGATACACACAACATTCAGAATGCAGCAAGACTCAAACCCCTCCTTGGGCTGCGGTAAACATACCTCATGCCATTCGATTTTGCAACACAACAGTACACAGCTGAACAAGTTCTTCTGATAACAACAGAAGTCCAGTGCTACTATCTTAGGAGCTTTTACTATATGTGGACTTAATATTTTAATTTGTTGCTGAAGCAGGATTGTACGAGGGGCAAGGGAGAATACTGTGATAGTTTTCCACCACCAGGGAGTCTGGCACGTTCATAACCAGCTACCTTTGTAAGCATCTAGATTATTGGGGAAGGGAATATTATCCCGGATGGTGAATGGAATTAATGGCACCCCCAAGTGAATATCCCCATCCAATAAGGGGGCAGGTAGGCCACCCATAGGGTCTGCATACCCAGAGGGCCCCCTAGGGGACAGCAATGGTTATACTACAATTATAGTGTATTAAGATGTTATTAAAGTAGCAAAGGAAGTCCAGGTTGGATTGCAAGTGTTGTTGTTTTGGCCCCATTTGTAGTGACAGAGCCATTCAGAAATATTGGCAAGGACAACTCTGCAAGGCAGTCCATTTCCTGTGGCCTCTGGCAATTTGATGCATAGCCAGCATTGACTGTGGTTGGCTTCTGTCGCAGTGGTTGCTGCCCAGTTGATGAATTCACTCTCCACCTCAGACCTGATGACCCAGGTACTGATTACTAGTAGACAGGTTATTCTCTGTAACAACAAAACTGAAGGGGAACATGATATGGTTTTTCATTTTTAGGAAACTGTACTACCCTTTTATTTTCTGCTCCCATAGCTACAAGGTCACCAGCCTTAGGAGTGGGATCTGATGGAGGCTGTATCCATATTTTCGCTCCAGGATTTAAGCTACCTATACCAGTGGATCTTAATTTCCCAGTTCTGTACGTAGCCTCTGTTGGGGCAGAGATTTCCTCAGGGGTTAATTGTTAACAAGGTACCAGGTACCACTGACAATTGAGCAACCCGAATCTGCAGTCTTGTAACAAAAGAATGTGGAGTGGTATTGTGTAAAGTGAACTTTAACTCTTCCTGGTAATCATTATCAATTATACCACCATACATTATAAAGTGTCTCATCGCCAGGCTTGAATGTGTTGTAATCCATTCACCCACATTCAAGTTTGCATTTATGCTGGAAATTTTGGCCTGTTGATCTACCTGCTGTTTAGTCTGTCAAGAGAATGCAGAGATGCATGAGAATCAATATGAAAAACAGCAATAATAGTAATGTGCATCAGGATTCAGGTATCTTCCTAGTATTGTTTTCTCCAAACCTCTTTATTCATTATTCACCATTTGTTTCATTGCCATTCGGGCAACTAGGTAGTAAGACCATTTTCTGCTGACCAACAGTCGGTATACAAGCAACAAATTGCTCTGGCCTCCTCCTGAATAGTTCGGAGGATGGCTTCTAGTTCAGCCAGCTGGCTGCTCACACCCCTCCCTTCATCAGAAACGCTTATGTTTTTAACAGGATTATAAGCCACGGCCTCCCAGCATCAGGTCCCATCAATGTATTTGGTGGAACCATCAGTAACCAAGCGTGTTTCTGATCCTCTGGGCTTAGTTCTTTAAAGGATTTGCCCCATTGGGCAGGGGAGGTTTCCTTCCCTATAAGCAGGACTTGCCCTGTGGTTTCCTGAGTTGGCAAGTTTTGCACATCTTCATGTAAAAATGATACCGCTTTTAGTTCTGGCTTATCCTGGTCTTGTATGTACCATTTCCATTTTATGATACTACATTCTTGAGTGTACCCTATCCAATGGGTTTGAGGGAGCTCATGACCCAAGTCATAATAGGAATTTGGGGCCTCATAAAAACATCATGATTAAAACAAAGGTGTTCTGCTTCCTTCAAGCGCAGTAGAAGGCCAACAGCTGCTTCTCAAAGAGTATAAGCTTTGCCAGCCTCTGGCAGCTTCTGGGTCTAAAACTCCAAAGGTATCTTCTTCCCATCTTGTTTCTACCTAAGGCTCCAATTAGCATGTTGATGTAGGACAGTTACTTGCAGTTCTGTTGACTCATCCTATAAGGGCCATAGATCCAGGGCCAGTTGCTCAGCTTGTTTTGCTTGTTGAAAAGCCAGGCTGTCTTTCTCTCTCCAGTGATATTCATAGTGTTTTCTAGTGACTGCATGCAGAGGTTGTAATATGTTACCCAAGTGGGGAATATGATGTCTCCAGAATCCAAACAAGCCAATACAATTTTGGACCTCCTTTTCAGTGGTAGGGCTGCAAATTCTAGTATTTTAGTGTTAGCCTTTGGTAAAATGGACTGTTTCCCTGCAGTCCATAGGATGCCAAGGAACTTTACACTTTGTGCAGGCCATTGAATTTTATTAGAGTTAACTTCCCATCCTTGAGATAGGATTTGGGTTTTTACCCTCTTCTGCCCTGAAAACTGACTAGTTATTCAGTTTTACCCTGACTGGGCAACTCGGACAGCTGCTTTTTCAGCAATAGGCTGATAGCTTTGAGCCTGATCAGTCAAGACAGGCCTGGCATGGTACCAGGGCCAGTCTGGAAGTCAGATTAAAATTTTCCTTTTCCAGCTTACATTTCTCTTGTAACAACCAGTCCCTATATTGACACTTTAACTTATAAGCAGTAAGCAAGCATCATCAATGCTGGGAAATTCCCTCAGCATTACAATTACCAACTGGGACTCCCTGCTGCACCTCACGCACAGCCAGTGATTCAAACAAACTTTATCCCACTTAAATGGCAATGCAGATATAATAAGCAAATATATAAGCAAGTTGCAATGGGACGGGGAGAAGGGAAAAGATATATATATATATTTAAACTCACCAAACTATGGAGGATTCACCACGAGACTGTGAAGCAACAGCCTGGGCTCCAGATTGGCCACTCATCCGTCCACAGACAACGTGAGATCTCATGAAGCTTTGGCGCAGTCTGGAACCCCAGCTCTTTTTGTAATGAGTTATTTGGCATGAAGTCCGGTCAGGAAGGCTATTCACAACGGGGCTCAAGGAACACAAAAAGGTCAACTTGTTTTTTTGATTGTCTATTGTTTTTCAATAACTAAGATATAGGAATAAATTGAAATAGAGATTTATCTGAAACAGCGCTGGATGAGGGCTTCAAGGGGCTCACACAACCTGTTCCGGGACTTGGTGACCATTGTTTGAGTCCATGTCCAATTGAGTTCAAATTTAATATTTACCTTTTACTCCAAAAAGTGTCAAAAGTAATTCCTTCAAATGCAGGAAATTATGTAGCTACTCACAAACTAAACTTCTCAAACAAAAGTCATAAATAGAGTACAGAGATAAAAAATAAAATAAAATCTAACTACATCTGTCTACAGGGGATTCAATTTATTTATTTATTTATTTATTTATTTATTTTAGAGACATGGTATTGCTTTGTTTCCCAGGCTGGTCTCAAACTTCTGGGCTCAAGTTAACCTCCCACCTCAATCTCCTAAAATGCTCGGATGACAGATATGAGCCATCTTACTATATAGTAACAAAAACAGACTAAAAGTGGCAAGATGCATCAAAACAATTTTATGCAAATCATAATGAAATGAAGACAACGTCACGAGCACATTATGCAAAATACTTTTTAAATAACTGTCTTAGTTTATAAAATAAATTATAAGTTAAAACTGTCAAAGAAAACAAAGGACAAAATAATAAAAAAGTTTATTCACTGGAAACCTAGGAAAATTATATACATTTATATAATATATGTTTATATAATTGTGTGTATTTATCTAATTATGTATACAGACACACATATATATGAACCTCACATGAAGATTTTAAAATAAATCAATAATATTTTGTCAGAACATAAACAAAAAACTGCAATATACTGAGAACAATATTTTAATACACCAGTTCTGTAATTAATAATAAAGCCAGAGAGAATGTTAAGAAGAAAACAGAGGACATGAAAATACTGTAAAACAGTTAGATGTAACAGATGCATAGAGATCACTCTACACAACAACAAAACTCACAGTCTTGTCAAAAGCTCATAAAACATTGTCCTAAAAATAAATATAAGGAAAAAAATTTTTTAACAGAATTAAAAAAAATTGAATGTTACAGAAAACACTTCAAAAAATCAATCAACCCAGGAGCCGGTTTTTTGAAAAGATTAACAAAATAGACCACTAGTGAGACAAATAAAGGAGAAAAGAGAGAAGAATCAAAGAGACGCAATAAAAAACGACAAAGGGGATATCACCACGAAACCCACAGAAATACAAACTACCATCAGAGAATACTATAAAAACCTCTACGGAAATAAAGTGGAAAACCTAGAAGAAATTGATAAGTTCCTGGAAACATCCACACCTCCAAGACTAAACGAGGAAGAAGTTGAATCTCTGAGTAGACCAATAGCAGGTTCTGAAATTGAGGCAATAATTAATAGCTTATGAACCAAAAAAAGTCCATGACCAGACGAATTCACAACTGAATTCTACCAGAGGTACAAAGAGGAGCTGCTACCATCCCTTCTGAAACTATTCGAATCAAGAGAAAAAGAGGGAATCTTCCTTAACTCATTTTATGAGGTCAGCATCATCCTGATACCAAAGCCTGGCAGAAGCACAACAAAAAAACAATATCCCTGATGAACATCAATGCAAACATCCTCAATAAAATGCTGACAAACCAAATCCAGCAGCACATCCAAAAGCTTACCCACCACGATCAATTCAGCTTCATCCCTGGGATGCAAGCCTGGTTCAACATATGCAAATCAATAAACATAATTCATCACATAAACAGAACCAATGACAAAAATCTCATGACTATCTCAATAGATGCAGAAAAGGCCTTCAACAAAACTCAACAGCCTTTCATGATAAAAACTCTAAATAAACTAGGTATTGATGGAACACATCTGAAAATAATAAGAGCTATTTATGACAAACCCACAGCCAATATCATGCAGAATGGGCAAAACCTGGAAGCATTCCCTTTGAAAACCAGCACAAGACAACGATGCCCTCTCTCACCACTCCCACTCAACATAGTATTGGAAGTTCTGGCCAGGGCCATCAGGCAAGAGAAAGAAATAAAGGACATTCGATTAGGAAAAAGAGGAAGCCAAATTGTCTCTGTTTGCAGATGACATGATTGTATATTTAGAAAACCCCATTGTCTCAGCCCAAAATCTCCTTAAATCTGATAAGCAACTTCAGCAAAGTCTCAGGATACAAAATAATGTGCAAAAATCACAAGTATTTCCATACACCAATAACAGACGAACAGAGAGCCAAATTATGAGTGAACTCCCACTCAACAATTGCTACAAAGAGAATAAAATACCTAGGAATCCAACTTACAAGGGATGTGAAGGACATTTTCAAGGAGAACTACAAACCACTGCTCCATGAAATAAAAGCGGACACAAACAAATGGAAGAACATTCCATGCTCCTGGAAAGGAAGAATCAATATCATGAAAATGACCATGCTGCCCAAGATAACTTATAGATTCAATGCTATCCCCATCAAGCTACCACTGACTTTCTTCACAGAATTGGAAAAAACTACTTTGAAGTTCACATGGAACCAAAAAACAGCCTGCATAGGCAAGAAAATCCTACACAAAAAGAGAAAAGCTGCAGGTATCACACTACCTGACTTCAATCTATACTACAGGTCTACAGTAACCAAAACAGCATGGTACTGGTACCAAAACAGATATATAGAGCAATGGAAAAAAACAGAGGCCTCAGAAATACCATCACACATCTACAACCATTGGATCTTCGACAAATGTGACAAAAACAAACAATGGGGAAAGGATTCCTTATTTAATAAATGTTGCTGGGAAAAATGGCGAGCCATATGCAGAAAACTGAAACTGGATTTCTTCCTTACACCCTATACATAAATTGACTCAAGATGGATTAAAGACTTAAATGTAAGACCCAAAACCATAAAAACCTAAGAGAAAACCTGGGCAATACCATTCAGGACATAGGCATGGGCAAAGACTTCATGACTAAAACACCAAAAACAATGGCAACAAAAGCCAAAATAGACAAATGAAATCTAATTAAACTTAAAAGCTTCTACACAGCAAACGAAACTATCATTAGAGTGAACAGGCAACCTACAGAATGGGAGAAAATTTTTGCAATCTACCCATCTGACAAAGGACTCACATCCAGAATCTACAAAGAATTTAAACAAATTTACAAGAAAAAAACGAGCAATCCCATCAAAAAGTGGGCAAAGGATATGAACAGACACTTCTCAAAAGAAGACATTTATGTAACCAACAGACATGAAAAATTGCTCATCATCACTGGTCATCAGAGAAATGCAAATGAAAACCACAATGAGATACCATCTTACGCTAGTTAGAATGGGGATCATTAAAATGTCAGGAAACAACAGATGCTGGAGAGGACGTGGAAAAACAAAAACGCTTTTACACTGTGGGTTGGAGTGTAAATTAGTTCAAACACTGTGGAAGACAGTGTGGTAATTCCTCAAGTATCTACAACCAGAAATACCATTTGACCCAGCAATCCCATTACTGGGTATATATCCAAAGGATTATGAATCATGCTACTATAAAAACACATGCACACATATGTTTATTGTGGCACTGTTCAGAATAGCAAAGTCTTGGAACCAACCCAAATGTCCATCAATGATAGACTGGATTAAGAAATTGTGACACATATACCCCATGGAATACTACGCAGCCTTAAAAAAGGATGAGTTCATGTCATTTGCAGGGACATGGATGAAGCTGGAAACCATCATTCTCAGCAAACTATCACAAGGACAGAAAAACAAACACTGCATGTTTTCACTCATAGGTAGGAGTTAAACAATGAGAACATGTGGACACAGGACAGGGAACATCAAACGCTAGTGCCTGTTTGGGGGTGGGGGGCTATGAAAGGGATAGCATTAGGAGAACGCTTAATGTAAATGTTGAGTTGATGGGTGCAGCAAACCAACATAACACATGTATACCTGTATAACAAACCTGTACGTTCTGCACATGTATCCTAGAACTTAAAGTATAATAAAAATTGAAGGCTACAGACTATAATTTCTGACCAAAATGGATTAAAACTAGAAATCAATAACCGAAGAAAATTCATAAAATTCACAAATACATGATAATTAAACAATTTATTCTTCAACATGTTTTTGTTCAAGAGTTAAAAATTTAATATTTTGAACGTGTCTATAATGCCCAAAGTGAGCTGCAGATTTAATACAATCCCTATGAAATTCTTAATATTATTTTTGACAGAAACAGAGAATGTGACTCCCCAAAGTATACGGAATTTCAGGGGACCACATAAAAAAAGTTGGAAGCATTACAATTCCTGATTTCAAGACATGTTAGAAATCTACAGTAATCAAAATGTTATGTTACTGGCATAAAGACAGACAATTAGACTAATAAAAAAATCTTTGCCACTGCTGCAGACAGTGCCTGCATCATCCTGCAGACTGACAATGATCATTTTGCTGCTGATGACTTTAAAGTGTGAGACAGACCTGGCCATGTGCCAGTTTGTGGAGTGCGACATTACTGATAACACCAGTGTCAGTCAGCCTCTGCTGGAGACAGAGATGGAGGCCCTCAAGGAAGAGCTGCTCTTCATGAAGAATCATGAGGAGGAAGTTAAAGGTCTATAATACCTGATTTCCAGCTCTTGGTTGACCATGGAGGTAGATGTCCCCAAGTCTCAGGACCTTGGCAAGATCATGACAGGCATCTGGGCCCAATATGACGAGATGGCTGAGAACAGCTGAGAGGAGCTGGACAAGTACTGGTCCCAGCAGACTGAGGAGAGCACCAGAGTAGTCACCATGCAGTCCGCTGAGATCGGAGCTGCTGAGAGGATGCTCAGGGGGTTGAGATGTACAGTCCAGTCCTTGGATATCGAACTGGACTCAATGAGATATCTGAAAGTCAGCTTGGAGAACAGCCTAAGGGAGGTAGACGCAGATGGAGCAGCTCAACAGGATCCTGCTGCACCTGGAGTCAGAGCTATCCCAAAACCGGGAAGAGAGGTACCACGCCCAAGAGCACGAGGACCTGTGGAACATCAAGGTCGAGCTGGAGGCTGAGATTGCCACTTACTGCCGCCTGCTAGAAGACGGGGAGGATTTCAATCTCCTGGATGCTCTGGACAGCAGTAAATACCTGCAAGCTATCCAAAAGAACAGCCCCCGCAGGATAGTGGACGGGAAAGTGGTGTCTGAGACCAACAATACAGACGTTTTGTTGTGCTAAGCCATCAGAAGCAAGGTCCCTTTGGGGAGCAGGAGGCCAGTAAAAAGTTCAGAGGTAAAAAAAAATTAACTTCAAATCACAGAAGTGTTTCCTTCAACACAAAAGTAATATAGATTCATTAATATATAGAAGTGGAAATTAAGACAATTTCCACAACTACTCACCCAGAGAGGATTAAAAAAATAATTGACCACCAACTAATAAAACAAATACACAAGTCATAAATAAAGTATGAGTAATGTTTATACAGGCAAATGAACAGAGAATTATGTTGGCAATAGACGTGTGTTTGATTCATATTTGACTGATTCATATTCAACTGTACACAGTTGAATATAGTCATACAAAATTATAATATATAGGCAGAATCTAAAAACACAATTAAATAATGTAAGGCAGCCTATCCTAACAAGGAAATACAAGAATATATAATATTAGAAAATAAAATTAAATAAACATTAGCCTGTGAAATACCGAATAAACAAAGCATGCAACGGAAGAAGACTCTTTCTAGATAACTAGCATGTTCAACCATAACTGGGCTCCCATAAAGAGCAGATTTTGAATTCTTAGCATATGGTTAGAGTAACAAAATTGCACAACAAATACATTATAATCTCCCATAAAGAGCATTTAGAAGAAAATTTTAATAAAGATTTCAATGATATTAGAGACACTTTTTATTATGTTCTTAATGTATTACTCCTCTTTTTATACAAATGGAAAGGCTATAATTTATTTATTTTTTTTAATTTTTTGAGATGGAGTCTCGCTTTGTCACCCAGGCTGGAGTGTAGTGGCGACACCTCGGCTCACTGCAACCTCCACCTCCCTGGTTCACGCCATTCTCCTGCCTCAGCCTCCTGAGTAGCTGGGACTACAGGCGCCCACCATCACGCCCGGCTAATTTTTGTGTATTTTTAGTATACACGGGGTTTCACCGTGTTAGCCAGGAAGGTCTTGATCTTCTGACCTCGTGATCCACCCGTCTCGGCCTCCCAAAGTACTGGGATTACAGGCTTGAGTCACCGCTCCTCGCCGGCGATATTTTTTGTAGTTTTAGTAGAGACAGGATTTCACCATGTTGGCCAGGCTGGTCTTGAACTCCTGACCTCGTGATCCACCTATCTCAACCTTTTAATGTGCTGCGATTACAAGCATGAAACACAGCACTGGCCTATAATTTATTATTTTTAAAACAAAGAAAAGCCTTACATTTTTACATATGGGAACAACATGAATATTGTAAAATATGCTGTGGAAAACTACAATATAATAAGCAATTAGAAATAAATTATACTATCATTCAGATAAATGTTGAGGAAAGTAAATGGAAACACTAATGATAAGTTTTTCTATGCAGTGAACTTAGACACAAACTAAAACTTTTCTTAATGTGATGTGCATACTATCCAATTCACTTTTTATATAACACATAAATTCAAGTATGTTTTCTGAAACCCCTGAAGCTAAAGTTATAGGCTAATTTGACATACGTAAAAACAGGACAGGGAAAACGTACAGATCACAGTCCCACTAAGCTTTATATAAGATTAATTAATAAAATAACTCATTAAGAAATAATGTAACAGTTAAGAATTTGTTCTATTCCTGGCATGTTTCTAAGTTTTTCTATGGATTAAGGTCCTTAAAAATTCTTTGAGATGAGTAGATACAATAAACTATTCCACAGGTGACATGTTTGGCATAGAGAGTTCACATTTCTAAGTTAGTTTCTACTAAGGGAAAGAAAACTTTTTGACCTACATTACCAGAGATGAAAAAAAGAATAAAGTGAAATAGAAGATTCAACTTTATCATATGTGCTGAGGTGCTTTGGGCTCTGATAAATTTTTTTTCTGATTTTTTTGCAGGAACACATTTGAAATCATAGGACTGAAAATTATGAGGAAGAAACATTTGTTCTTGGTGTTTCTGAAATATGTGAACCAAACCCCAATGCCTGCACTTTTGCTCTCACAAACTTCTGACATGAGGCACAGATTTTTACAAAACAGCTTAACATAGAAGTCTCACAAAATGTGCAGATTTCCTCAGATCCCAAAAACAATGGAAAAGCACTCAGACCACAAGAGCTTCATGGGAATAGCAGAAAGAAGAGGCGAACTTTGGCTGTCACTGTGAATGCCCTGGAATGTTAGTGGATGAACAGAGAAGCCTTAGAAGATTTAAGAGCATAATAAGCATAGGGTAGGAAATTTCCACCTGTGGCAGCAAAAGAAGTAAATTTAGAATTTTCCAGAACCAATTTCTTTGAAGCAGAACTTCCAACACCACGTTTTTAAGGTTTTCTCCTTGGCCTTTGCACCTCTCATCTTTGTTATTTGTTCATTCTTCCCTATTGGGGTGTTGCCTATTATTCTCTCTCTTTTTACATTCCAAAGATATTTCCTTTACTGTAGGACAGGGGCATCCACGGGAGACTACAGCCATGAGTTCTTAGTTTCTGTTTCTGGTTGAGCCAGTAAGGTCCTTTCCTCATCCTCCTTTTCCACTTATCACTAGACACAGAACCCAAAAACCATTGCTGCAGGCTGCTAAAAACCTAAAACAAAACAGAGCCATAACAAAAACAAAACAAGGCGGGTTGGAAAAGCTTGCTGTACGAGGCAACCAGGTCTGGCTTATATTCACCACATCCCTTCTTCTTTCCCAGAACAGCAATTGGGCTCAAGAGAAAACGTCCAACTTTTAGTATATCCCTCAGTGTAGAATGAGAACAGTGGAACATATGTTCAAAGGTTTGGCTTTGTGGGCTACCGCTGATGACTAGATTCTGTCTCCCCAAACAGGGAATGCTAAAGGAAATGGCAGAGTAATGAGAATGATAACTTATGACTGCTGAGAAGAGAAGTTACATGCTTACCACAGCCTCAGAGAAACAAACACTACAATCAACTGCGGAAGCAAAGGACCACAGTGTCTGGAAAACAATGGGAAAAAATATCTTTACCTTAAAAATACACACACAAGCCCAGAGAAGACACATTGAAGACACTGTTAATGAAGTACCAGGATGTACAGCCTCACTGATTGTTGTATTATCTTGTAGTAAGCAAGTTTGTACATACTACATTACACAGTTGTTTTATAAATTTCTGAATCTCATCAAAAGATTGCAGGGCATACAGAAAAGGACGAAAACATGTCCCAATTGAAGAAATAAAATAAACCTACAAATATTGATCTTTAAAAATCTTTGTTGACTTTTAAAGGTCAAAATTTGTAGGTTTATTCTTTGTTGTTGTTGTTTTTGCATTATATAATTTTGAAAATCAAAATAATTATCAAAGCTCCTTAATGATATGAACACTTCTCCAGTCCGCAGGGCTCCGGCAAGGGAGGAGCTTAGACACCATGCGGGACACCCGGGTGGACCCCCAACCCACGCCCGAGGCTCAGAGCAGGAGCAAGGACCTGGCTGCACCAGGCCGAAGCCGCCTCCACCCCCAGCGGTCGCGGACTCCAGGAGCTCCAGACCTGGGGTCGTGGTGAGATTCGTTGATTGACTGCGCGATGGTGGCTGAGTTGCAACCAAATGGGTTTCATCACCTTAAATGGTTTTGAACCAATGAAGCTATATTCCCTTAAAGAGACGGACAGCCCATCGTGTGAACTATAGAGTTTGTGAACAAATTTATATTGGGTTCATAGTGGCATCATGCACACAGACTCCTGCGAGTTCCCCTAAGTTCTTAGAGGACTGCTTTACCTTTTGATATGAGAGTTGCAAAGTTCCCTAAAGAATGGTCCTTGTGGATAAGCGCTAAGTCAAGAGACAGCGATTGGACAGAATTTGTGAAGGAATTCGCCGCCAGATCACTAAAGACCCCCTAAGCCCCCGCTCACTGGCAGCGTTCCTGGTCGGCCGTGACTGCACTGTGGACATGCCCATCCTGAAGGACCTGGCCACCGTGGCCTTCTATGATGCAGTCCACGCAGGAAATCCAGGAGAAAGTTCTAAACAGAGCCGTGGGCCCCATGATGCACCACACAATCACCTCACCAGGGAGGTTCTGGCAAATTTCAAGTCCTTGAGAGTGATCGTGGGGGTGGGCAGTGGCTATGACAACGTGGACATCAAGGCTGCCAGAGAGCTTGGAATTGCTGTGTGAAACATCCTGTCCACAGCCGTGGAAGGGACAGCCAATTCCACCAACTGCCACATTCTCAACATGTACCGGAGGAACACATGGCTGTGCCAGGCACTGTGGGAAGGCAAGCGGGTTCAGAACATGGAGCAGATCTGCGAGGTGGCCTCGGGAGTGGCCCGCATTCGTGGGAAGACCCTGGACCTCATCGGCTAGGGTCGCACGCAGCAGGCTTTTGCAGTTCTAGCCACAGCCTTTGGATTCAGCGTCATATTTTATTACCCCTACTTGCAGGATGGGATCTAGCAGTCCCTGGGCACGCAGAGGGTCTACACCCTGCAGGATTGGCTGTATCAGAGCGACTGCGTCTCCTTGCACTGCAGTCTCAACGAACATAAGCACCACCTCATCAATGACTTTACCATAAAGCAGATGAGGCAGGGAGCATTCCTTGTGAACGCAGCCCGTGGTGGCCTGGTGGACGAGAAAGCCTTAGCACAGGCCCTCAAGGAGGGCAGGATACGAGGTGCAATCCTCGACGTGAATGAGTCGCAGCCCTTTAGCTTTGCTCAGGGTCCGTTGAAAGATGGCCCCAATCTCATCTGCACTCCTCACACTGCCTGCTACAGCCAGCAGGTGTCACTGGAGATGAGGGAGACAGCTGCCACCGAGCTCCGCCGAGACATCACAGGTCGCATCCCAGGAAGCTTAAGAAACTGTGTGAACGAGGAATTCTTTGTCACATCTGTGCTTTGGTGGGAAATAGACCAGCAAGAAATTCATCCAGGCATCTTGGGCGTGGGTCCAGGAGGACTTCCTGCATCCATGGAAGGGACATTCCCTGGAGGCATCCCGGTGACTCACAAACTCCCCACAGTGGCACATCCTTCCCAAGCACCCTCTCCCAACCAGCCCTCAAACACGGGGACAATCGAGAGCACCCCAACGAGTAATAACAGAGAATGCCGGAAGGTAATCATTCAGATACACTTTTGAAGAAGAGACAGTGAAAAATAGACAAACTAAGAGAAAAAGAATCTGACGCTCTTTTTAGCTGATTCTGGACATACGCTCATTGGTTTTGCAGTGTTAAAACTGCAAGACCTAGAAAACTGAAGATGTCTTCTGCTTACGGAAGCTCTGAAAGACTAGGATGTGATTTATTAACCACCAACTTCCGTTATTATGTGTTTAGTTTTTCATCTGTGCGTCAAATCACAAAGAATGAATACAACTTTTTCCTTTATCAGTCCCTTGGGCACAGCAGGTCTGGAACACCCTGCTCAGAATGTTGCATCAAGACTTCAAACATCAAAATAAAAACCATGAGGAGGAAATCCCCATCTTGTGACTTGAGTCCCTTCAGTCTACAGGGACTGGTTACAGCATTTTGCTAATAGGAAGATCACATTACTAGAAAATATGGAGTAAACTGTTTGCCTGTGGTAGACATCCTCACACATAGGATTGAAGACAGTACCGGCTCCTGTACAGAGAAGCGTCTCTCACATCTGAACTGCATACTGAGCGGGCAAGTTGGTTGTAAGTTCAGTAAAAGCCTCTGATAATGCAAAAAAAAAAAAAGTATTAAGTTTCACACGCTGTTTGTAATCAAGTATATTTTCTCAGTTTCAGATCCTCTGCTATTTTATTTAGTGGGAAGTCTTGCACTAAAAGGGTTCAAGAAAAATAGTGTTGCATTTTCTTATGTCACAGGAAACAATTTTAATGGTAACTTGTCAGATTGTCTATGAACAAACCCACTTTTTAAGACATTGATAAAGTCTTCTTTTCTTCACGTTGTGTTTTATACAAGAACACTTCAGCTGTATTGGATGTGACTGATTTTAACAAATTATATTAGATTTGCATCAATTAGTTACATGTTCTATTTATAGTCTTTTGTGAATATTGTCTTTTTGTTTAAAAAGATGGCCTGTTTTGATCCTTTCATTAGGTACATTCCCGTTTTTGTAAGAAAAGAGAAATTTTTAAGACTGTCCCAAACAGAAAAATAATGGCTATCAGAAGTACGTTTTGTTTTAGTGTAGTGCAAATTACCGTTACTGTAGTTGTTTATTGTAAAGATGGACATTTAGCATTCAGTGCAGTTTTCAATAAAATGTGATTAGAAAAAACTGCTTAATGAACAAAAACAGAACATAGACAACAAAAGAATATTAGAAGAAGTGATACATAAAGAAAATGAGATATCAATAAAAAGATTTTTAAAAACCAACAATTGTGAATCTGAAGAACATAATAGCTATATTAAAAATTTAATCAACAGTCACAAAAGCAGACTAATAAAGGAGAAAAAATTACACAATTGATGACATTGTAGTTATAAATATTGAATGATGAAAACAAATTTTTTAAGCAGAATGGAGGAAAAAGTATGGGACGTACTGCACATGGTCAAGTGGACCATTATATTTATGAAAGGAGTCTTACAAAAACAATATAGGAGAAAAGTAATAAAGAGGTTATTTTTAAAAAGTAGCTGAGAAATCCCCACATGGCAAGATAATTAAACAAGAAGAAATACTTCCAAACAAAAACCTTCAACTGGAGTAATATCACTTCAGAAATAAAAAAACTAAACCTTTCCAAATAAATAAAAGTTGATTGTGTTACTAACCACTAGAACAGTCCTAAAGGAAGTGTAAAAGAGTCTATCACGTCCAAAAATGAAATGATGCTGCAGAGCATCATAACAGCACATGAAAATAGAAAGCTCTCTATTAAAGGTAAATATATAAACAGGTAAAGAAATCTCTACTGTCATAATCATGGTGCAAAAAACTTTCAAAATATTGCCATGGAGTTTAAAACATGAGGCAGAAATCTGCATAAATTTGTGATCATAGACCATAAGGAAAGATAATATGCGATATTAATAAAACAGTGGGGGTGTCAAGAGGTACAACTTTGCATTCAGTTGAAATATAGTTGTTCTATACTGTCATAACTTTAAGATGATTTATGAAGTCTTTATTTCTCAGGATGATTACCAAAAAAAACCTGTAGAATGTATGCAAAGGCAAATGAGAAAGAAATTCAATCACGTCACTACAAAATCAACAAACAGAAATAAAGCAGTAAGAGAAAAAATGATAAATAACACATCTACTAGAAACACAGAAGACAATTACAAATAATAAAGTAACTTCATTAAATGCAGTAATTCCTTCAAATATAAAAAGTTAAATACCTTAAAGAAAATTAATAAATAATTTAATGGATTAAGAACAAAGAAGATCCAGCAATTTGCTCTCTACAAGAGTCACTTCAGCTCTAAGGACTCAAATAAGTTGAAAGTAACAGTATAAAGAAAATATATTTTATGCAAAGAGTAGCTAAAATTGGAGGGCCATGGTCATAATTATACTAAACAAAATATATTTTAAATCAAAAATATGAACAAGAGACAGATTGGTATTGTGTTTTTGTTTTTGTTTTTGTTTTTGGAGACAGAGTCTCATTCTGTCACCAGGCTGGAGTGCAGTGGCACGATCTCGGCTCACTGCAACCACAACCTCCCTGGTTCAATCGATTCTCCTGCTTCAGCTTCCCGAGTAGCTGGGACTACAGGCACACGCCGCCACCTCACCCAGCTAATTTTTGTACTTTTTAGTAGAGATGGGGTTTCACCTTGTTGGCCAGGATGGTCTCGATCTCTGGACCTCATGATTCACCCGCCTCGGCCTCCCAAAGTGCTGAGACTACAGGCGTCAGCCACAGCGCCCGGCCGAGAGAGATTGGTATTATGTAATGGTGAGATGGATTAACTTTCCAGGAATCTATAACAATAATTTATAAATCATATATATATAATTTGAAAAATCTGCAAAAATATACCACTGAGATTTTGACAAAAATTACATTAAATTTTTGTATTACTATAAATAGCACTGACATCTTTCTTTCTTTTTTTTTTTTTAGAGACAGAGTTTCTTTCTCTCAGGCTGGAGGGCAGTGGCATGATCTCTCGATAGGCTCACTTCAACCTCCTCCTCCCAGGTTCAACTGATTCTCGTCTTTCAAATATGTAAAACAAATATTGACAGAAGTCAAGCAAGAAATACATAGCAACACAACAATGGTGGACTTCAAGACTCCACTTTCAGTAATGACTAGAATAGTCAGAAGTAATATCAGTAAGAAAGCCAAACCTGAACATTATAGACCCAACCAGCATTTACAGAACTCTCCAATTTAAAGGAGCAAAATCTGCAATATTCTAAATCACACATGGTACATTCTGTTAGGATACATGTCTTATTAAATTTAAGAAAACTGAAGCCATACAATGTAAATGAAACTAGAATTCAAAAGCAAGAAAATGTGGCAAATATGTAAATAAGAGGAAATTAAGCAAAATCTTTCATATAGTCTTGCTCAAGTGTCAAGTGATTTAATATTGTTAAGATGTCAGGGCCGGCATGAGGCTCATGCCTGTAATCCTAGGACTTTGGGAGGCCAAAGTGGGTGGATCACTTGAGATCAGAAGTTTGAGACTAGCCTAGTGAATATGGCAAAACCCTATCTCTACTAAAAATACAAAAGTTAGCTAGACGTGATGGTGCACGACTGCAATCCCAGCTACTCTGGTGGCTGAGACTGGAGAATTGCTTGAACCTGGGAAGCGGAGCCTGCAGTGAGCACATCTCGCACCCCTGCCCTTCAGCCTGAGTGACTCACTAAAACTCCATCTCCAAAAAAAAAAAAAAAAAATGTTGTCAGTACTACTCATGATGATATAAAAATGTAAGGTAATTTTTGTCAAAATCCCAATGGTATTTTTTTTGCAGAATTTTTGTGTATAATTCTAAACGTTGCTTAGGACAGGTGACTAGCCAAACACCCTTTAAAAAGAACAAAGAGGTATTACATTTTCTGATTCAAAATCATGATACAAAGCTACAAAAATAAAAACAATGTGGTATTGCCACAAAAACAGATACATAGATGACGAAACAGAACAGAGATCCCAGAAATAAACCCTTGCATATGTGATAAAATAATCTTCCGTAAGCTTTCCATGACCACACAATAGAAAAATAAGAATCCATTTAACAAAGAGTTTTCCAAATTGAATATTTACAGAGAAAAAAATAAAGTTGGATGCTTCCTTTGTATCATATATAAAAAGAAAAGTTTTTAAAATGAATTCAATACTTAAACATAAAACTTAATAAAATTCTTAGAAGTAAACATAAGGGAAAAGTTTATGACATAAGTCTTAAAACTCTTTCCTTAAGTTTGACATCAAATTCATAAGCAACAAGGAAAAGAACAACGACCAAGAAAAGGGACTACATTAAGCTTCAACTATTCTACACATCAAATAAAACATTTAGTGCCATACAAACGTCACCTAATAAGTGGGTGAAAGCTAGGCATGGTGTCTCATGCCTTTAATTCTACAACTTTAGGAGGCCAAGGCAGAACAATCACTTGAGGCCAAAAGTTTGAGACTAGCCATGAAAACATAGCAAGACCCTGTCTTGTATAGGGTTATATATATGCATACATACATACATATAACTAAAAAGAGTAAAAATATTTTCTAATCACATATTTGGTAGGTGTTAATTTTCAAAATATATAAATTCCTAAAACTCAACAACAAAAAAAGTTAATAACTTGATTTAGAATGGCACATGTTTGAAATGACTTTCTCCAAAGAAGACATAGAAATGACTAGGCATTTAAAAGGATACTCGACAACTCTCTTCTAGAAAAATACAAAGAAAAGTCACAATAATCTATCACATCAAACCTATTTTTAAAACAGTATGAAAGCTCTTCAAAAAATTTAAAATGAGATTATTATACAATCCAGCAAACCCCATTCTGGCTATGTATTTAAAATATACAACACATGATCCGGAAGAGATATTTGCACACCCAAATTTATTGCAGCATTACTAACACAAGCCAAAAGGCAGAAACAACCCAGCTGTCCCTTGACCAATGAAGAGATTAACAACAAGTGGCACATACACAAAGTCGAATATTATTCAGTCTTTAAAAAGTCACATTATATGATTATTCTTGAGAATATCACGTTAACTGAAATAAGCCAGGAACAAAGTGACAGTCTATGATTCCATTCATAATCAGGTATCTTAAGTAGACAAACTCATAGAAAAAAAAAGTTAGAATGGTGTTTGTCAAGGACTGAAGAGATGGTAAAATGGGCAATTGTCTTAAAAGACATTTAATGTTAGTTTTGCAAGACATAGAAGTTCTACAGATCTTTTGCATAACTATGTGAATGTACTTAACGCTAATGAAATATACACTTAAAAAGAATTAAAATGGTAAATTTTACATTATGTGTTTTTACCACAATCGCAATTTTTAAAAGGAAAAATATGGACTTATAAAGCTTTCCAAAAATTAAATTTTGTTCACAAAAGATTTTCTCTCACACAAAGGAAGTATAGATTTATAATTAAACACATTGTGAAATTAAGATTATTTCAATGACTATTCATCCACACAAGATAAGACAACCACTGAAAATCAGCCAAAAAATATGGAAGATAAGCCATGAGCAAAGTTGGGGACATATTTATAGAGACAAACACATATATAATTTAATTTTGAAAACGTATGACCGATTTATATTTTAATTAAACCCAACATTAGTTTCCTGAGTGAAATTTGGTTTTCAGTTTGGGCAAATGAAGCCCTTTCTGTGGTTAAAAGGATTCTTTCTTCTCCGTTTCTTCGTATGGACCTGTGCTGGGGATTGGTCAGCTGTTCAAGTGCAATGCACTCAGTTTTGGTTCTGTGCCAGGATTAAACCTACGATATTTCACATTTCATATATAAACCCCGATGAAGTGTTTCTAGGAGATGGCTGCCTCATAACCTATATTTTGCCAAATGTTTACTATGAATTTCACCACCATCCTCTTGAAGGTGGTATTGTAACTAAAACTCTTCAGGACATTCTACTTAAAACTAAAATCACGTATATCTCAAGACACTCCTTTCTGATTTGAAATGCCTCTGTCATGTATTGTCTGCAATCAGCATCCTCTTTCAAAGAAAGTAGAAAGGACAGATGAGGAAACTGATAGTGTTACTGCATGGGAGACAGAGGTGAGGATACACATGGCGGATGAAAACATGGAAGTTATTTCTACAGCACGATCTTGTAAGTGTCTGACTGCTATGCTCCCTTGTATATCAAATGATGTACCTTTATTGCAAGAGAAGATAGTGCGCTCTTTACCTTGACATTGAGAGGCAATTTTGAATCTCTGTCGTGATTGTTTAGGACTGAGGATTTAATGTGCTATTTTGTGGAAATCTTAGAAGCAGTAATGGGATTTAATGATCTTAACTATCATCCATCTGAAAAATCTAACGCGATTTTAAATAAAATGGCCGGCTGCTTCCACCGTTCCCTTTTTAAACCAGGAGCTGCCGTTGCTTTTAACATTACGAAGTTGAATCTATGAATAGTTTGTACTATTAACATTTTTTTAAAAATCCACATTGACTTGAAGTGTACAGGCAGAGTTGGAAATTATAACATCCAAAGTTATAATACATAAGTAAAACCCAAAATAAAATCAACTGCTGCCCTGGAACCTATTATAAATAATCGAGACAGTAATATGGAATTGTAAAGAAAAATAAGAAACATATTTACTCATAAAATCTTGCAAGCAAAGTTTTTTTCTTTTTTTGAGACAGAGTCTCACTCTGTCACCCAAGCTGAAGTGCAGTGGCGAGACGACGGCTCATTTCAACCTCCGCCTCCTGAGTTCAAACCATTCTCCTGCCTCAGCCTTCACTGAGATTACAAGCACCTGCTACCAGACCAGGCTACCTTGCATATAAACTTGATATATCATTTATGAAAATACTTTTTAGATAACTAAAATATTCTACTGTGACTGTGCATTCATGAAGTTCGGGTATCTTGAATCATTGGCATGCAGTGTGTGACAGTAAAATTTCACAGAAAATACACTGTAACCATTAATAAAAGGCCCTAATAAGAGAATTTTAATGCATAAGAATTGAAAAGACACCATAAATAATTTCCGTTGTATTTTTAATACACTGATGCTATTCTTACACAAAGTAAAAAGGCTGGGTAAGTTGTGGTGGCTCACACCTGTAATTCCAGCAATTTGGGAGGCCGAGGTAGCAGATTGCTTAAGCACAAGAGTTCACAACATGCCTGGGCAGGATAGGGAGACCCTGTCTCTGCAAATAATAATAAACAGCCAAGTGTGTTAATACACATTTGTGGTCCCATCTGCTCAGGAGGCTGAGGCAGGAGAATTGCCTGAGCCTGAGTGGTCAAGGCTAGAGTGAGCTGTGATTATGCATTGCATTCCAGCCCAGGTGACACAGTGAGACCCTGTTTAAAGAAAAAAACAAACAAAAACTAAAAATTAACCAGGAGTAGTGGCATGCACCTGTACTCCCAGCTACTTCAGAAGCTGAAGTTAGAAAATCATTTGAGCCTGAGAGTTTGAGTCTGCAGTGAGCCATAATTGAACTACTGAACTCCAGTCTGTGTGACAGAGCAAGGCCTTGTCATAGATAGATAGATGATAGATGATAGATAGATAGATAGATAGATGGAATACACCTGGAGAAAGAGTAAATTTTAATGTAGTGTGATGTAATTTTTAAAATAAACTTTATGTGTGTATCACTTAGAAATTTATAGAACAGGCCGGGGGCGGTGGCTCACGCCTCTAATCCCAGCACTCTGAGAAGACGAAGTGGGCAGATCAGGGGGCCGGATATCGAGACCAAGACCATCCTGGCTAACACGGTGAAACCCTGTCTCTACTAAAAATACAAAAAATTAGCCGGGTGTGGTGGCGGGCAACTCTAGTCTCAGCTACTCGGGAGGCTGAGGCAGGAGAATGGCGTGAAACCGGGAGGCAGAGCTTGCAGTGAGCCGGGATCGCGCCGCTGCACTCCAGCCTGGACAACAGAGCGAGAGTCTGTCTCGAAAAAAAAAGAAATTTATACAACTTAGCCAGAAGAATAAAAAACAACCTCTTAACAGTTTTTTCAAATAAAAAAAGTGAGTTTGAAGAGAAGGGAATAAAGGGGACTTTCAGTTTAATGTGTTTTTTATTTTTTGAGTCAGGGTCTCACTTTGTTGCCCACATGGAAGCGCAGTGGTGTGATTTCAGCTCACTGCAAACTTGGCCTCCCAGGCTCAAACAATCCTCCCACCTCAGCCTCCCTAGTAGCTGGGAATACAGGTGTACATCACCACAACTGGTTAATTTTTGTATTTTTGTAGAGAGAGGGTTTTACCATGTTGCTCACACTGGTCTTGAGCTTCTGGGCTCAAACAATTCACCTGCCTTGGGCTCCCAAAGTGCTGGGATTGAGCCACTAGGCCAACCAAGTTTTTTGTTTTGTTTTGTTTTTGAGATGGAGTCTCACTCTGTTGCCCAGGCTAGAGTGCAATGGCACGATCTTGGCTCACTGCACCATTTGCCTCCTGGGTTCAAGTGATTCTCCTGCCTCAGCCTCGTGGGTAGCTGGGATTATAGGCACCCGCCACCGAGACCAGCTAATTTTTGTATTTTTTAGCAGAGATGGGGTTCCACCATGTCAGCTAGGCTGGCCTCAAATTCCTGACCTCATGATCCACCCACCTCGGCCTCACAAAGTGCTGAGATTGCAGGCATGAGTCACTGCTCCCAGAGACCAGCCAAGACTTTTACTTTATAAAGATATTTATGATGTTTTCTTTTCTTTTTACAGTACGCATTGCATTTATAATTGGAGATACAAAAAAAGGTGACTGTTACTGTTTGACAGCAAGGCAGTAGTATTATCTTCATCAATATTTGCAACTTCATTCGCAGGAACCTGTAAGAGAAAGCCCAGACAAAACTTTAAGGCAAAGAAGTTACACTTGTAAAAAATGAGAGGACTATTTTTTTATAATAACAAATATTCCAGGTGAGGACTGGTCAGGATCTACCACTGCTCCATCTCACTTGATAACTCTCATGCCTGCCAGGGTAAGAAGGAGCAGAGAGAAGGACAAATGCCAGTGAGTTTCCTCTCCCACTAAGGATCTGTTTGTCAAGTTTCCTACCATCAAGTGGAAGATGTACTAAAAATAAAATGTACCCTTGCAGATGCTAGCAGAGAGGCACAAAATAGAAAAGGAGGTAAGCCCACACATTGTGGAGAAAGAGATCCAACTTAAGATTCAAAATGCACCAGAAAGCTGTGTAAAGTTAATAAAATTACTCAAAATCTTGGAACATTTGTTTCCTCACCTGTAAAATGGGGATCATGTGCCTACTTCATAAGTTGTTTTGACAGTTAAATTCACAGAGATATTTAATAGAGCCTGCTATGGCAAGTGTTCACATTAACAAAGTAGTATCAAACTTCAAAATATGGGAAAAGTATTTTGAATAATGTCTATGAGGCCAAGGACAACATGCCCAGCTTCATAATCAATCCCAGCCACATTACACTGAGGAGATCTACAGGCAACTATATTTCTTCAACAAATTCCATTAGAGAGGAAGAGTGTGTAGTCTGAAAACATGACACAAATGTGACCAGTGTACAGTGACTTGGGTAGTCGGGGGTGGAATCCCTACATATTCTCTGAATTGCAGTTACACAGTGAGTTCCCAGGAAACAAATGGAATAGAAAAGGCAACACAAAGTATACTACCATAAATGGGGTGAACATAGCAGGTTCACAACCACAAATGTAAGCAGGAGACTCAAATCACAAGGAGCACCTAGATCTGTGAACAGCAGCTTGTGGTGGCATCAGGTTCAACTTTCTGAGACCACCGGTGTGGGCAGTGTCTTTGCAGGCACATACTCGGCAGCAGTGTATCTGAAGACAGATCTCAAGGCTCTTCTCTTCATTGATTATTAAGATGATAGATGATGGATACCCTCACGTTACAACATCCCCACTAACGCTGTGGACAAGTGAATTCAGAAACACACACCTAAATACACAGTGAAGAGTAGGATGAGAATACTGCAGGATAGGTTAGGAATGCAGGCATTCGACCCCATAGAGTCTATTTAAAATAAGAGAAGGGCCCTAGTATTGTGCTGTGGTCCTCCTATATATAGTTCTTTATTTTTCCAATTTCATAAAGGCCATACAGTTTTTCTTCCTTTCTTCACAAATGTGCTGATGAACCCATGAGTAATTCATCCTGAAGGGGTTAATCCCTCATAAAGTACAGTAACATGATTCAATTGCTATGATGAGGTTTTTCAGGATTTTTTTATAGTGTCCCATACTCACCGATCACAAGTGAAAATTATAAGAACATGTAATTTGAACAAAGTATTCTTTTCACATAGAGAAATACACAGGTTTGTACAGATTAGATGCATCATCAAAGTTGGTAACATCTGGGAACAAAAGGAACTATCCTGAGGACATAAGGAACTTAGGGACTTCGATTATTAAGAGGCTACCTGCAAGTGGAACTTCTGGGTTTTCATTGTCTAGACAGAAAAATTTAACTGATAAGCCCCAGTATATTAAGGTACATCCCCAACGGCTGTGGGGGATCAACTTTCCATCCAAAGCAGAGATGTAAAACATGAATGACTTCAAATGCGGCTCAAGTGCTCTGCACCTTGAAAGTCATCCCCACAAAGCTGGAGCACCACCTGTTCCTGAGGGATGAGGTCACCAACTGCTTTTTTGAGACACTCGTCAGTCAGGACTCAGTTGAGATGAGGCTGGTGATTTCAACTGTAAAATATCTAAACCATCATCTTTAGGTAGATTCTTATGCCTGGGAATTGTGGTTTTCTCCTCTGCTGTTAGCAGATCCTGAGTAACCCAAGAAATACCCGCTCTCACCCGTCAAGTTCTATATCACAAGAAAGGCGCTGCAGACGGTGACATTTTCACGAAGGAGCCACAGCCCGCATCACCCCCTGAAAGCTCTGAAGTTGCGCACGGGTGGGTCACGCAGCAGGTGGATGTCTCAGTTCCCATAGAGTTTAGCAGAGCAGGCGGCTCCCTGGGCTGGAAGAGGTGCGATGCTCTGGAAACCCCCGCGGGTGTGTATGTGAGAGGACACCGAGATGTGCAGTGGGCTGTGCAGTGAGGACCAGACACCTCCGATTTGAGCAAGGGAGGTGCACTTCGCAGGGTCACACCGTCCTCATCGCCCAGCCTAGACCTGCCCCTCAAGTCCTTCTGCGGACTCCCTTGGCGAGGGGGTGGCACAGAATCAGCATGTGGCATCGCTTAGGAAAGGACGAGGTCCACACCGCCCTGTCCCTCCCTCCAGGGCTGCGCACCACGGGGGAGGACAGACAGCGCATGCTGGTTTTGTAGTTAGCAGGTCGGCGACCAATGGGCTGGAAACCGTTAAGACACCAAAACTCCCAGCACTCCTAGCTAGGGACGCGCCTCCCTATCCTTCGCTTCCATACTACACACCGCCCCCAAACCCAGCGCATGCTGAGATTGTAGTCCGTTAGCCTCGCGACCAATGGGCTGGAAATACTGAAAGGACTATGACTCCCAGGATGCCTTGCGAGGTACCCGCCGTCCCGATCCTTCCTCTAGGGCTGCGCACCGCCCCCAAGCCCAACGCATGCTGGGATTGTAGTCAGGTAATCCTGGGACCAACTGACTGGAAACTGTTAAGAGACCATAACTCCCAGCACGCCTGGCTAAGGACGCACCTCCCTATCCTTCCCTTCAGTGCTACACACCGCCTCGAAGCCCGGTGGCTGCTGGGATTTTAGTCTGCAGGCCGGGGGCCATCGCTGGAAACCATTAAGAGACCATAACTCCCAGCATCCCTGGCCAGGGACGCGCCTCTCTATCCTTCCCTCCAGCGTTACACACCGCCCCAATCCCGGTGCATGCTGGCATTGTAGTTCGGTAGCCTTGCGATCAACGTGCTGGAAACTGTTTAAGGACTATGACTCCCAGGACGCCTTGCGAGGGACCCACCCTGTTGACCCTTCCTCCAGGGCTGGGAACCTCCCTTAAGCCCAGCGCATGCTGGGATCATAGTCCGACTGCCGCGACAGAAAGGCTGGGAGTGGATCTGAGACTACAGTTCCAACACTACGGGGAAAATTTCATCTTCTCTGAGACTACAGTTCCAACACTGAGGGGATAATTTCATCTTCTCCTCCGCCCCTCCATGTTTCCAGTGCAATTCCGCCCTGCTGAGGGGAGCCTATCTGTTCCCAGACTTCTGCGTGCGAGGAGACAGCGTGGCCAGGGCAGGTGGTCTCACTTGTAATTGTGGCACAGTCTCCCCACGTGCCAGTTGTACGACTATTTGTGCCTGAAGTTTGATTTCTCTCTGACAAGACAGAGCCCGGGAGCCTCCAACAGCCTGCCCAGCGTTGCTGTAACGCTTGCTCTCGGGGAGCTGGGCGCGCCCAGACCTTTGCAGGGCCCCTCCCTCAGCCCCGACCCTTCTCCTCGCCCCTCCCCTGCCACGCCCCTTTCGACATGCTGGAAAGTCATCTACCTTTAATAACAGTCATCTTGGCAAAAAAAAAAAAAAAAAAAAAAACTCTGAGAATAACCTATCTCCCATTCTATTTAGTATTTATTTCCATAGTATCCATAAATAGTAGCAATTAGATATCACAGCAAGTCAAGCAAAAGCCCTGCCTTGCCTGTTTCATAAACCACGATATGGCCTTGCTGTGGTTTTATTTGTATTTTGTTTTGTATTTATTGACCTTTTGGATATAAATATTTAGGTATTTGGACAGTTTTTGGAAGTATTCCGCTATTAGTTGTTGATTTACTTCTGTTCCCTATTTAATTTTTTTTTGTCTCTCCCTTCTCCTTAGACTCAGTCATTCCACAGGTCTCGAGAGCTCTGTTCATTTCCTTTAAACTTTTTGTACTTTTTTTTTTCCAGACTGGATAATTTCTATTGCTGTGTCTTCTGTTTTAAATCTATGGCTAAACTCAAAAGATTTTTTTCATTTCCTTATCTATAATTTTTTTATATATATGTTCATTTCTCTGCTGAAGTTCCACATCTGTTTGTTTATGAATAGAATATTTTCTTTTTTCCCCATGAACATATTCATAAAAACTGCCTTCAAATTCTTGTCTGCTGATTGCAACATCCTGGGATAGCTTCTACTGCCTGCTTTTGATATTGTGTATGGATGACATTTTCACGTTTCTTTACAAGTCTTATGAATTTTAAAATTGTGCACTAGAAACTATAAATGATAATTATAGAATAGAAACTCTGGATTTTGCTGTTTTACCTTGAAGACTTTTGTTTTATAAACAGGGTTCATTGGGCTAGTGTCAAACCAATGCTTATGTCCGCTACAGTGGGTATAGCTGAAATCTTCATTCAGTTGTTAAACACACATATCATATATGTATTATGCATAGGCGTTTTTCTATAATAATATATTTTATTCAAGTTTCATCATTGTTATTTGTGAGAGTTCAACAAGCTAGTCCACACTTAGTGGAAGTCAGAACCTCAGTTTTATTTGATTGTAGCATTTTATATAAACAAAATTATATAGTATGTATACTTGTACATCTGTTTTCTTTATTTCCTTTTCTGTTTTCTTTCTTTCTTTCCTTTTCTGTCTTCTTTCTTTCTCTCTTTCTTTCCTTCTTTCTTTCTCTCTTCTTTTTTCTTTCTTTCTTTTCCCCAGGTTGGTGTGCAGTGGCATGATCTCACTGCAACCTCTGCCTACCAGGCTTAAGATATCCTTCCACTTCAGCCTTTTGAGTCACTGGGACCGCAGCCTTGCACCACCATGCCCGGCTAATTGTTTTGTATTTTTGGTAGAGACAGGGTTTCACTATGTTGCCCAAACTGGCATGTCTGCTTTCTTTTATGCAACATTACATTTGTGATATTCACCCACCAGTTGCAAATAGCTATAGTCTGTTCATTTTAGAAAGTAGTTTTTACCTTTTAGTAAAATATAAAAATACATGAAATTAACCATTTTATTATTTTTTTTGTGTGCAGTTTAAAGAAATTAAATACATTCACATTGTTTTGCAACCATTGTCCAAGTTCATAAGGAACTGTTTTTCAATCTTTTAAAAGTGAAACTCTGTACCCAGTAAACAACACTCCCCTTCCATTGCCCTTTGTGTAGTCCCTGGAAACTACTCTTCTACTTCGTGTTTCTATGAACTTAACTGCTGTAAATATCTCATATGAGTGGAAAGAGACAATATAGCAAAAAAATCATGAGGAAGAATAATATATACTATATAACATATGTTTATCCATTTTAAGAAAAATGCTAGCAGAGATCAGGTCATGGTGTTTATAGAGAAAGGTAGGTAACAGTGAAAAAGGGATTGGTTGCATTAAATTTACGACGTGATGCCTCAAGTGTCAGAGTAGTGAGCTTTCTGCCCCACTCGCAGGGCTGGTCAATGGTGTGGCTGGAACCCTACTTGAGCTGCCTGACTGCCAGAGCCCATGCTTAGTACAAACTTCAATGAGCCATGAAAGCAATTCCAACAACAGGCACTTAATGGCTCTGAGATTTTATCACAGTCTGTTCTTCATGGCTAGCAACTTCAGAGAAGAGTGACAGCTGTGAGGTTCCAGAAGCCACACCTCAGGTCCCCCAGTTCCTCCCCAGCAGCTGGAGTCCAGGTGCAACAGGACCTGATGCCGGCCAGGGAACCATGGCCACACGCTGTGTGAGGCTGGCGGCAAGACAGTCTCCCCTCCTACCCTCTGCTCATCTGCTAGGTCTTTGCCTTTTATTCTGATTGTGCTGCTCCAGGCTTGGAACAAAGCCCGAAATTCCTCTTGAGTCTGAAGATGATGATGGTTTCCAGCTGTGTGGAACTGCTGCATCTCCTGGAGGACTTTAATCTTCTGGAAACAGAGGGAAAGACAGGATGCTGACAGGGCCTGGGTGAAAGACTCTGTAGGGGCCTTATAAAAGAAGGGAGGAGGGCTGGTCTCTGAGGTGTTTCTTTTAAGGGGCTCTCACCTCCCCTCCAATATCATGCAGCCCTAACTGGTTCTCAGAGTTGAATGTAAACGGCCCTTCCTCTAGGAAGTTGTCATCAACTTCACTCCCCTGATTGCACCCTGCATTAGGATAGGTCTCCTCCTTCTCTGTGTATTACTCCCTTTCAATAAATCTTAGATGCGGAAGAAGGGACCAGGGAATGTCCTGCCCAGGGTGATTTCTCATTTCCACCTCCACCCTCCCTCAAAGTGAGGACTTCAGCTACTGCTCACCTTTCTGTTTTTCTGGGTTTTGATCACATTTCTCTGGAAGACAGAAAGCCAAAGACCATCAGAAAGGTCCGCTGGTCCATAACTAGCCTCCATTTCCAGCGATTTCCGAGCTTCACCACCACCAGAGCCACCAGGGTCAGGGAATGTGCACAAAAGAGGTCTTGCAGCTCTGCAGCTTCACTACTCAGGGAGTGGGACTGATGGCTGCTGTGGAGCCTCCATCACTCATGAGTAAAATACCCTGTTTACGGGATGGGGAGGGCTGCGAGGCCCTCGCAAAAAATTTTGGCAAGGACTGAGATCTAGGAGCTCAGTTCAAGACTCTCTTCTCCCAGGCCTCAGGATCCTGGTCCCTGACCTGTCTGCTCCAGGCTCACTCACATCCACACACTCCTTCATGGCAATGTCCAGCATCACCACATCAGTGAGGAATGTCCCCAGAGAGGGCATGACTTGGGAGGTGCCCACCCAAGTCCTGTCCGCTGAACTCTTATAAACCCCTGCCTCCTGGCGCCCTCTACCTAGGTTACCCACTTGGAGTAGCTGAGAACCCTCAGCTGCCTTTTCCCAATTCTCTATGTCTTCCCATTAGCTGGCCTCTATTGCCACCAACCTCACCATAATTACCTCCTTGGTGGGATTTTAACAAGCCACAAGGTCATGTGGTCCCTGGCTCCACCTGTTTTAAAAGCCACACAGAGCCCAGCTCTCCCAGGCCTTGCTCTGGTCTGTCTAATGAAGGAGTTTTAGGCACTGCAGCCCCAGGAGAAAAGGGCTGGAGTAGAAAGGCCCTCTGCTTTTTTGATTTGGAAGTTTCCAGCTGGGAGAAGTAAGCTCTGTTCTCTGAAACCCTGGAGCCCTTCCCCATCACAGGCACATTCACCTTCTGCTGTCATAGCCTCACCTAAGCTCTCTGGGGCTCCGCTACAGGGTAGACAACTTGTACGGTGTTCACCTGCTAGGATGAGGGACAAGGTCAGTGAAAATATGCTTCTTTCAGTTACGCCTCAACCACACTAACCTTGGACACGGATAAGTGGCCTGAGTCAGCTTGTCCAATGCTCTGACCATCTCCAGTGAGCTCTGACTCTAGACTCACTCCCAGGTCCAACACTCCCTGGATGTGTCATTTTGGGCATGCAGTCGGGTTTCCCTGAGCTGTTTCCTCAACTGGAAAGTGTGGTGGGAACCAACTACCTCACAAGGCCTCTTACCACCTCGGTTTCATGTGGTTGTCATGATTGCTGTCACCATCATCCCTCTCAGGATGAGCCAGACACAAGCACCCTCAGATTCTCTGTCTCCCTGAGCCCCATCACCACCTTGTGAGGCCTGCCCAACAGGCTCATCATTCCTAAATTTTCCACATAAGAAAACAGAGGCCCAAAGCGGCAATGACATGCCAAGGACCCCACAAGAGAGGCCAGCTCCTCCCTCAACCTGGAGGGACTGTCCCGGCTGCCTTCACCTAACACCCTAGCATCATCACTGACCAGCATTCCATCTTCTAAACTCTATGAGTGACAATATTCCCAGCCAGGCCCTGTGGCAGTGGACATGGTTCTGAGAATTGGGAATCTAATGTGGAGGAAAAGTTAAATATTTAATATGAACTCAATTGAACATGGGCACAAACAATGGTCACGAAGTCCTGGAACAGGTTGCATGAGCCCCTTGAGGTGTTCATCCAGCGCTGTTTCAGAGAAATCTTTCAATCCATTCCTATACATTAGTTATTGAAAAAACAACAGACAATTGCAAAAACAAGTTGATCTTTTGTGTTCCTTGAGCCCAGTTGTGAAGGGCACCTGTGACTGCGCCTCATGCCAAACAACACATTACAAAAAGAGCTAGGGTCCCAGACTGTGCTGAAGTTTCATGAGACCTCTCCTCATCTGTACATGGACACGTGGCTGACTCTGGAGCCCAGGCTGTTGCTTCCCAGTCTGGTAATGAATCCTCCATAGTCTGGTGTGTGTAAATATACATATATATATTTTCTTTCTGTCCTTCCCATTGCAATTTGCTTATTATATTATTTGCTTATCAAGTCTGTATTGCCATACACTTGGGATAAAGGCTATTTATCCTTAAAACTATTGTGGGTGCCTTTTCTTTTCCCCTCGTTCATTTCCCGCACCGGAGCCCAGGTGATGGAATCTCGAAGTGACCTCACTTCCTTAGTTACAAACTCAAAGAAAGTTTAGAACTCTGGTAACCTGGAGCCCTAATTCTAGAGACAGCTTTGTATTTACTAAGGAGACTCTGAAGACAGCAAGATGTTCTCCTGCTATGTCTTGAATTTCTGAGGCTCTCATCTCAGGAAGGCTTGAACAGAGAGAATTTTTTTTTATGATGGAGACAGTGCTCATTCTGCACTGCTGGCTCTTCTGGCCATTTGGAAAGGGTTACCCATAGATAACACAAGGCCACCCATGGCAGGCCTATCCAGGCCAGGCCTCACCTTTGATATCATCTCGGCAGGCACACATCCCTCCTCATCTCCACGTCTCGTGGGAAAGAAAGAGATAATGGGTCCTTTCTTGACAGGAGCAGGTTTCCAGGTATTGGGAGGCTAAAAGCCTGTCAAATTTATACCGCAGGTTACAGTTGGCAGGAGGGGAAGGTGAGTGCTGGGGGTCACCTTTGTTTGTTCAGACATTTATTCTAAGGCTTCAAGCTGTCCTCTTGTTTTCTCCCTGGCTGGAGGTCTGCGCAAATGCTCCTATGTGCCTGATCTGGGGAGTAGACTTTCTAACTGGAATTTCCCCTGTGGGGAAAGCCAGGATGCCATTGATGCCTCTTGGCCAGGCTTCCAGGCACTCTCTTTGCAGAACTCTATTGAGGAGATCCCTGAGGAGCTGTTTGATGAGTCCAACTACTCCATCTCGTTGAACAAAAGGCAGGTGCATCATGCCAACAACCATGGCCCGTGCTAGTCTGGAGTCAAGGTGGGCACAGAGAGGTCTCCAAATGGAAAAGACCAGGGAAGCCCAGGACCCTGACCCAAATGTGAGGATTCCCCAGAAACCGTTTTAGGGCTTTCTCCATTAAGGACCCACAGTTCCTTCCCAGAGGAATTTGGCCTCCATTAGTCCATAATGGCAACTTAGGTGCACAGTCCCCGGTCATATGCTTGCAGGAATGTCAAAATAAACACTTTTGTGTTGTTATTACTTTACATTAAGTTGTGAGTATCTTTGCATGTTGCTATTATTTTTATTGTTATATCTACCCACCCCACATACTTCCTGGAGCAGGCAGCTTCGCTGCCTTGCCAGACCTTCTCTAAGTCTTAGAAGTTCACACTGTTACTAGAGAGAGGTTTCACCCAAAAAGTGGGAGTTATGCAAAAGGGTCTTATATGACTCTTTACATATGTGTCCCAGAGCCCACCTCTATAGCCCCATCAGGACAGGAGCTGTGTCCTCATATGTCTTCATAAGATTCCATAAGTGGGGCCTTTCCCTCAGTAATTTAGGCTTTTAATACTGGTGGAGCCTGACATAATAAATTATATTTCCACTTCAGCCATGCTACAGGGAATATCTTTTTTTTTTTTTTTTTTTTTGAGACGGAGACTCGCTCTGTCGCCCAGGTGGGAGTGCAGTAGTGCAGTCTCGGCTCACTGCACTCCGCCTCCTGGGTTCACGCCATCCTCCTGCTTCAGCCTCCTGAGTAGCTGGGACTACAGGCGCCTGTCACCACGCCCGGCTAATTTTTTTTCTCTGTGTGTGTGTGGTTTTTTTTTTAGTAGAGACAGAGTTTCACCGTGTTAGCTAGGATGGTCTCGATCTCCTGACCTCGTGATCCACTCGCCTCGGCCTCCCAAAGTGCTAGGATTACAGGTGTAAGCCACCGCGCCCAGCCGCTACAGGGAACATCTTATCTGTGTCCTAATAGGCTGTAACGCTTTGCTATGACTTCCCTAATACAGTACCACAGGCTGAAGTTCTTTAACAACAAAAACTGAATGTCGCACAATTCTGGAAGTTAGAAATCCAACCTCAAGCTACTGGCTGTGTGGTTTCTCTGAGGTCTCCATCCTTGGCTTGTAGATCGTCATCTACTATATCTGTGTTCACAAGATCTTCTCTTGTGCTTTTCTGTCCTTCCTGCCTCTTCTAATAAGGGCTCCAGTCATCTGGAATTAGGATACACCCCAATTAATTCACTTAAACCTAACTACATTTGCAGAGGCTATATGTTCAAATATAGTCACGTTCTGAGGCACTAGGTGTTAGGACATGAACATATAATTTTTAGGAAGGGAATGCAATCTAGCTCACAACATTTACTAATCCCTTGTAGATTATAGTCTCCCAGGAAAATGATTACTCAGTGAAACAGTAGGAAAGTGTAAAGGTTTAATAGGAAAAGCCGGAATATATTCCAAAAGGGTTGTGAAAGCCGTACTGTAAATAGTAGTTTCTGAATTTATCTGCTTTTATGTATCCAGAACCTCTTGGTTGTCAACATTCTTTTAATTTTTTTGTCAATCTGCTATCTATGTGGCAAAAAAACATGTTTCTATTTCAATTTTTCAACTGATATATTTGAGTTACCTTTCAGTTGATTTATACTTATTTGAGTTTTCTGTTCCCTCAGTTAATCCACTCAATTCCTTGGCCCTGTGAGGGGTTTCTCTCACCTTGGAGTCCCCAAGCACTGACACCTTTGTCAGGTGTGGGGTTGCTGTAGTTATTTCTCAACACTCCCTTTAAGGTTTTAAAAGACCCAGTTCAGTTGCTTTAAGTCAAAAGGGTTGTCTTAGGGTATCTTATCCTGTGCCCTGTCTCTAAAACAGAAAGAAAGTGAGCCTTCCCCATGCCCTTCCCCCTAAGTCAGGGACAGACATAGAGCCTCAGGTAGCTTAAAGGGAATTTCATGCAACCCCCACCGTGGAAGATTCTCTTTCTTACTTGTGTTTTTCTGAGCAGCCATTTGACATCACAAAGCTTTATTTTCTCATTTGTAGGCTGAGTATGTTTTTTTGGGAATTCTCTGGGATAATGCTCTTCATAAAGATTATTAATACAAGTGGGTGCTGTTGTCTTACAGCTGATATGATATCGTGAAGGCCTTGAATGTATTCATGGATTAATTATTCTCTACCTCCACATTAAATTTGATATCAGAGGCCTAAAACCTTTTTCACCATAAACACCCATGTCCTCCACATGCCCAAGTCTCTGAAGGATGGAGATTTCCTCATCCAAGCTCCACATTCCAAGCCTCTGGTGTTTCATGGTCTTGCCATGAAAAGTCTTGTCCCCTCCCCAGGAGGAAATGAGTCTATTCTTAACCTAGAGGTGTGAATGATGCCAATGCGCCAAACCAGGCACAACGGAGAAGCTGACGAAGTCCCTGACAGCAGCCTTCCAGGGTCAAACTCTCTTCTTTTTATCATTTTTCTCAAGTTTTACCAGGACTTCCTCACCACTCTGTAGTTCCTGGACCAGCTGTCTAGTAGTTGAGCATATGTCTTCTCCAAGGCACAGTGGTGACTCTGCCAGCTACTAACTGTGTCTTAGCATACCAGTGCATCTTTATCAGCCTCAATTTGCATCTTTATAGAGAATTGTAAAATGAACCTCTGTTCTGTACGAGAGACATGCAAGGGGAGAAGAAAACACACCCAAAAAAACCTTTAAGGGTAAACAAGCTTTATCTGACGTAAATGGCAGTGCAGCTATAATAAGCAAATTGCAATGGGAAGGGGAGAAGGGAAACATATATACATATTTACGCCCACCAGACTGCGGAGGATTCATTACCAGACCGGGAAGCAACAGCCTCGACTCCAGAGTAGGTCACCCATCCCTGCACAGACAAGAAGAGGTCTTAGGAAGTTTCAGCGTGGCCTAGAGCCCTAGTTCTTTTTGTAATGAGTTGTTTGGCATGAGGCCCAGTCACGAGGGCTCTTCACAACTGGGCTCAAGGAACTTGAAAAGGTTATCTTGTTTTTGCAATTGTCTGTGGTTTTTCAATAACTAACACATAGGAATAGATTGAAATAGATATTTCTCCAAAACAGTGCCAGATGAATGCTTCAAGCGGCTCATGCAACCTGTCTGGGACTTAATGACCATTGCTTTTGTCCATGTTCAATTGAATTCAAATTTAATATTTAACTTTCCCCCACAACCTTATATGTTTTTTGTGAGAAATGAATGGCATACAATATGAAAAGTGGTTTCCTAATGCTCGGCTTTGTGGAAAGCCTGCTGGGGCATGCTCTGATTGTTCGTATTTATTACTTTTTTCTCTTCTTTCACCCCAGAAGGTCTTTCATGTCACAGTGACTCATGTCCCTCTATAATTGGACAATCATATAGAAAACAAACATGTTCTTACATTTGTAAAGGGCACTTGAGCTTCCTGTTAGCTGGACTTTGTCCTTGAAACAGAGAGATCCTGTAGGAAAAAGTCCCCAGGCACACTCAGACATAGCTAAAAAGGTTGTAGTTAGGGCTTATTTATTCATCACATATATATAACGCAGTTTTCCAGACACTTGGCCTAATTCAGTGAAGACAACAGATGACAGTTCCTGGGCCACAATTTACTTCAGGGAGACACTCAGAGTGGACATCATAAGCAGGTCATGTTCACAGAATGTGAGAACTGATGTTCTCATGCTCTCCTCTAGGAATGGATGCACCTGTCAGCTTCTGATCAGAACGACAGGCCCAGGATCAAGCATAACATTTAAATAGACGAATAAAACTTTTTTCCAAAAAGGAACATCGCTTTATGATAAAAACTCTCAACAAATTAGGTGTAAAGTAAATTCACTTCAAAGCATTAAAGGCCATGTATTACAAATGAATAGCTGGGCGGGCAGTTCTGCCATAAGGCAAGGGCATCCGCTTCCCTAGATACATATCCAGGGGCACAGAGAATGAGCAGTTCCAGGGTTGTGTCTCACATGGGGTCCTCTCCAGGTCGGTTTCAAGAGGACAGGACTGGGGTTCTGTATCCACTTCTGTGGAGAGCTGGAAGTAAAATGAGCTATGCTCCACCTCAGCCTAATGTAGACAATGGCTACAGAGAAGACTGTTTTCTTCCTCATAAATAGGGGTGCTCGAAGTGGGTAACCTTGATTGTTTCACATACTCATAAGTGTCTGCCAGCCTTGATTCTTCATTGGTGAACTAAGACTCTTTGCTCTGAAACTCTGCAGAAATGCTTCTACTCCCTGGAGGCCCTTCAAATCAGAGAGAGGCATGGCCACTCCAGAGGCATTTTGGGTAGATAAAGATGGGATAGAGCTAAAGGTGTCAGAACACTGGACCCTGAGTCTGAAGTCATGGGAAAATGCCAGTTCCTGTTGGGTTTTTGAGCTCCTCATTTGAAAGTCGTATTAAATAATTTCCCTGGATAAGGGGAGGGTGCCTCATGAGTAAATAGCACACTCCAAATGGTGGAGGCAAAGAGAGGGCAATGGAGGATTCCAAGGTCACTCAGTATACTTGGAGCCTTCAGATTCTGCTCCTTTGTCCTCTGGAACTCCAAAGAGTCAGTGTCTTGAGGACACAAAACAATGGTACCTGATTTGTTCCATAATGTTCCTGCATGGGGCTGCAGTGTTAGTGATGGCCTGGAGGTGGTTACAGCCTGCTGTGTTTCTGGTGCCTATTGAGCTTTGCTGGAGCAGCTGGAGCAAGTAAGAGTCACACACCTCAAGTTATTATCAACAATTTCCACATTGCCCACTTAGCCAATCTTTTTTCCCTTGCACTCACCCTTTGCCAGCTACCCTGGTGGGTCCAACATGTGGCACAGAAAATGATTACATCATGCCTGCATACCCCTCCAAGGACAGAACAGTCTGAAGCCAGCTCGACAAAAGCACTAAAGCAAGTATATATAAAAGAAAAGAGCAAGGACTATTATATAAAGTAGAATGTTGAGAAGAAGAGCTGCAAAGTCATTGCATGGGGGGACCCAAAGTCCTCACTGAGGTGATCTTTAATCCATGATGAGAATGACAACAGGGAGGCATCTCTGCACAAGAATGTGTCAGTGAGAAGCCACCCTTGGTGAAGAGTCTTACAGGTGTGAGTTTGGCAGAGATTAGAAAGGGACCAATTTGGTACAGACAGCCTGAGGAAGAGATAAGCAGAGGCATGGAGAATCCTGGGGCTTGGGAGATGAGGCTAGATATCGGCTCCTTTCTGACAACATTGCCCTAAAACTTAGCACCTTTCAATAGTATATACTATCTCACAATTTGTGTGGACCAGAATCTGGACACAGTTTAGTTAGCTGCCTCTGCCTTCAGGTCTCTTATGAGATTGGGGCTGTGGTCTCAACTGAATGTGGACCGGAAAAGCATCAACCTTTAGGCTCATGCTTGTGAAAATTGGCAGGGTTAAGGGTAGACTGAGAGTATGACTTTACTTCTGTCTACTGCCTGAGCACTCCCTCCGTTCTTTGTTATGTGCGTCTGTACATAGAGCATCTCATAGCATTGGAGCTTGCTTCCTCTGTTTGAGGAATACAATTGAGAGACAGAATTAGGCAAACAGTTTCACAAAAAGAGACATAAAGAAATGGAAAGACTGAGGAAGCAAATAGGAAAAACCCAGTAGGAGGAATAATGACAGCTTTAAAAAAACTTGAGAGTTACAATAATTTGTATTAAAATTGTAACCCCCAGTGTAATGCTATAAGGAGATAGGTTGTAATTAACTCCTGAGGTTGAGGCCATCATGATTGAGATTACTGGCTTTATACAGGAAAGCCCAGAGGGATGTCTATCTCCTTCTACCAAATGAGAATAAAATTTGATGTGTGCAGTTTGAAATTCAGAAGAGTCATCACCAGAGCTCAACCATGCTGATACCCTGATCTCAAATTTCCAACCTCTAGGAGTGTGAGAAATTAAATCCTGTTGTCTATAAGCTGTCTAGTTCATGGTTCTTTGGTATAGCAGCCTGAACTAATACAAAGTCATACACTATTCTGTATTCCATTTGACAGAAGCTGAATTTGTGCCTTCAAACTGTTAAAAAAAAAAAAGACTTTAAAAATTGGATATTCAGAATGAAAGATAAGAAACAGCTTGTTGAAACACTTAAATCTCCTCTGCTTATAAGATTTTAAAAAATTGGCTGAAATATGTTGGAAGCAATATGGCCAACTGAAGTCCATGGAGAATGAGTTTGCTGATGTTAGAGCCCAAATTTCCGTTGCATGTTTCATATTAACTCTCCCTGAATATTCATGTGACCTGTGAGGAAGCAAGAGGAGATGACTGTGCATGTCTCATGACTTTCCATATTACTACTTTCCTTCCAGCAATCCCCTCCTAATCCAGAGCCCACTTCTTAAGCATTTTTTAATCAACACCTTAAAGCCTATATAAGGAAACTGATTTGAGCTGGACTCCTATCTCCTGTTGGCCAACCTACAACAAGATGCCATTTTTCTCAAAACCCAAGTGCCATACTACAGGCATCGAGCAGTAGGTCATTTTGTTCAATAACAAACTGAGTCACTAACCACCTAGTGCTGGGAGACTTTGTGAAGGCTTTCCCCAACTTAGGTGAGATAAGGCACATGGATATAATTCTATATATAATAAGAAGTCACTAGAAAGTTTAATAGTTGTATTAGTCCATTTTTATACCGCAATGATGGAATACCTGGGACTGGGTAATTTATAAAGAAAAGAGGTTTAATTGACTCACAGTTCCACAAGATTGGGTGGGGGAGGCTCAGAAACCTTCCAATTATGGTGGTCAACAAGTGAAGTGAGTGAGAGCAGGGGATACACCAGAAGCTTATGAAACCATCAGATCTCATGAGAACTCACTCACTATCACAAGAACAGCATGAGAAAAACCCGTCCCCATAATCCAATCAACTCCCCTCAGGTTTCTCCCTTAACACCTGGAGGTTATAATACAAAATGAGGTTGGGGTGGGGACACACAGCTAAACCACATCAATGCCAGAGGATGATATCTACATTTAATTTCAACCTCGTATTGCAGCAGAATGAAACTGAAGCCCAGTGGGGAAGTGACTTTCCCAAGATTACACTGCTGGACCCCAGGCCTACCTGAGTTGTGGCCCATGCTACCTCCCACCTATTCTCCTAATGCTTCCATCTCTAAGTGTGTGCATTATTTACAGGTGAAACTACACCACGATTTTTACATTTTGTCTTATATACATCTGATACATTCCCTAGGAAGTAGATAACATTATCCCCACTGTGCACGCTAGGAGGCTGGGGAAGCCTCAAATACACAGTGACTTTTATTAGGTCCCAGAGATGGTAAGAAAAACAAGGTTATTTTCCAGCTGTCTCTTATATCCTGGAACCCAGGATGCATTTAGGTCTTTCCAGGGAATTAAGGGGAAGTTGTGTTTGCATAATTGTGTACAAATAAAGAGTTGACATGGAAGAGGAGACTGAGCAATCAGTAGCATAGTGGGGCCTTTGGGTAGGTCTTATAGAAAGAAGGGGCCCAGTAGATGGAACCTTGAAGACTTCAACACACTTTCCTGGTGACAGAACCCCACAGCAGTTAAGAAACCAGGAACCCACATTCTTGAGACAGCTCTGTATCCACTTCTGTTGGTGAGAGATGCTCAAGAGAGTGAGATGTCCTTTCATTGTGCCTTGATATTTCTGAGTTGTAGCCTTACAAAGCCTCACTGTAAAAGCCTTCTCTGATAACACAGATGTCAACTCAGCCCTCATCCCTGATACCCCTGGCCATTGGCCAAGTGCACCTACAGATAACACAGAGCAGCCCAGGACATGTCCATCGAGGCCAGGCCTCTCTCATCATCTCATCTGGGCAGCCCCACGCCACTTCTTTGTACCATGAGTTGCAGGATGGACAAAAGAGAGGGCACTCTTCTTGGGCAGAAGCCGATTGTCAGGTGTTGGAACTCTTGTGTGTCTGTTATGTTCATATTCAGGTCAGAGCTGGCAGAATAAAAATAAGAGAGTTGGGGACTGAGTCTGTATACTCAGATGTGAATAGCAAGACTCTAACCTGATCTCTGGTTTCCTTCCTTGCTGGAGATTTATTTATTTATTTATACTTTAAGTTCTGGGATACATGTGCAGAATGTGCAGACTTGTTACATAGTTTTATATTTGCCATGGTGGTTTGCTGCATCTATCAAACTGTCAGCTAGGTTTTAAGCCCCACATATATTAGATATTTGTCCTAGTGCTCTCCTTCACTTTGCCCCCTGACAAGCCCTGATGTGTGATGTTCCCCTCCCTGTGTCCATGTGTTTTCATTGTTCAAATTTCACTTATGAGTGAGAACATGTGGTGTTTGGTTTTCTGTTCCTGTTAGTTTGCTGAGAATGATGGCTTCCAGCTTCCTCCATATCCCTGCAATCTGAGGTCTCTGTTCTGTTCCATCTGTCTATATATCTGTTTTGGTACCAGTATGACTTCCTCTCTTCCTATTTGCATACCCTTTATTTCTTTCACTTGCCTGATTACCCTGGCCAGAACTTCCAATACTATCTTGAATAGGAGTGCTGAGGGAGGACATCCTTGTCTTGTGCTGGTTTTCAAAGGGAATGCTTCCGGCACTTGCCTATTAAGTATGATATTGGCTAGGGGTTTGTCATAAACAGCTCTGATTATTTCGAGACTTTTTCCGTCAATACGTAGTTTATTTAGAGCTTTTAACATGAAGGGATATTAAATTTAATCTAAGGCCTTTTGTGCATCTATTGAGAAAATCCTGTGGTTTCTGTCATTGGTTCTGTTTATGTGATGGATTACATTTATTAATTTGCATACGTTGAACCAGCCTTGAATCCCAGGGATGAAGCTGACGTGATCATGGTGGATAACATTTTCGATGTGCTGCTGGTTTCAGTTTGCCAGTATTTTATTGAGGATTTTTACATCGATGTTCATCAGGGATATTGGCCTGAAATTTTTGTTGCGGTTGTGTCTTTGCGAGGTTTTGGTATCATTATGATGGTGACCTCATAAAATGAATTAGGGAGGAGTCCCTCCTCTTCAATTGTTTGGAATAGTTTAAGAAGAAATGTTACCAGCTGCTCTTTATGCTTCTGGTAAAATTCGGCTGTGAATCCATCTGGTTCTGAGCGTTTTTTTATTGGTAGGCTATTAATTACTGCCTCAATTTCAGAACTTGTTATTGGTCTATTCAGGGATTCAACTTCTTCCTGGCTTAGTCTTGGGAAAGTGTATGTGTCCAGAAATTTATCCATTTCTTCTATATTTTCTAGTTGATTTGTGTGGAGATGTCTATAGTATTCTCTCATGGTAGTTTTTATTTCTGTGGAATCAGTGGTGATATCCTGTTTATCATTTTTTAATGTGTCTATTTGTTTCTTCTTTCTTTTCTTCTTTATTAATCTAGCTAGTGGTCCATCTCTTTTGTTAATCTTTTCAAAAAACCAGCTAGTGGAGTCATTGATTTTGAACAGTTTTTCTTGTCTCTATCTCCTTCAGTTCTGCTCTGATCTTAGTTGTTTCTTTCCTTCAGCTAGTTTTTGAATTTGTTTCCTCTTGATTCTCTAGTTGTTTTAATTGTGATGTTAGGGTGTCGATTTCAGATCATTCCAGCTTTCTGTTGTGGGCATTTAGTGCTAGCATATCCCCTCTTAAAACTGCTTTAGCTGTGTCCAAGAGATTCTGGTACATTGTCTCTTTGTTCTCATTTGTTTCAAAAAAAACTTAATTTCTCTCTTAATTTTGTCATTTACTCAGTAGTCGTTCAGGAGCAGGTTGTTCAATTTCCATGTATTTATGTGGTTTTGAGTGAGTTTCTTAATCCTGAGTTCTGATTTGATTGCACTGTGGTCTGAGAGACAGTTTTTTATGGTTGCCATTTTTTCCATTTGTTGAGGAGTGTTTTGCTTCCAATTATGTGGTCAATTTTAGAATATGTGCTATGTGGCATGGAGAAGAATGTATATTCTGTTCGTCTGGCATGGAGAGTTCTGTAGTTGTCTATTAGGTCCGCTTAGTCCAGAGCTGATTTCAAATCCTGAATATCCTTGTTAATTTTCTGTCTCATTGATCTGTCTAATATTGGCAGTGGGGTGTTAAAACTTCCCAGTGTTATTGTGTGGGAGTCTACGTCTCTTTATAGGTCTGTAAGAACTTGTTTTATGAATCTCAGTGCTCCTCTGTTGGGTAGGTATATATATAGGATAGTTAGCTCTTCTTGTTGCATTGATCCCTTTACCTTTATGTAGTGCCCTTCTTTGTCTTTTTTCATCTTGGTTTAAAGTCTGTTTTACAAGAAACTAGGATTGAAACCTTGCTTTTTTTGTTGTTGTTGTTGCTTTTTTTGCTTTCCATTTGCCATTTCTCCTTCCCTTTATTTTAAGCCTATGTGTGTCTTTGCATGTGAGATGTGTCTCCTGAATATAGCACACCAAAGATTCTTGACTGTTTAACCAATTTGCCAGGCTCTGTCTCTTAATTGAGGTATTTAGCCCACTTATATTTATGGTTAATATTGTTATGTGTGAATTTGATCCTGTTATCATGATGCTAGCTGGTTATTTTGCACATTCGTTGATGCAGTTTTTTCATAGTATCGATTGGTCTTTATATTTTGGTGTGGTTTTGCAGTGGTGAACCATATTTTCCTTTCCATATTTAGTGTTTCCTTCAGGAGATTTTGTAAGGCATGCCTGGTGGTGACATAATCCCTCAGCATTTGCTTGTCTGTGAAGGACTTTATTTCCCCTTTGCTTTTGAAGATTAGTTTGGCTGGATATGAAATTCTGAGTTGAAAATTATTTTATTTAAGAATGTTGAATATTGGCCCCCACTCTCTTCTGGCTTCTAGAGTTTCTGCAAAGAGATCTGCTGTTAGTCTGATGGGCCTCCATTTGTAGGTAACCTGACTTCTCTCTCTGTCTGCCCTTAACATTATTTCCTTCATTTCAACCTTGGAGAGTCTGGCGATTATGTGTCTTGGAGTTGCTCTTCTCGAGGAGTATCTTAGTGATGTTCTCTGTATTTCCTGAATTTGAATGTTGGCCTGTCTTGCTAGGTTGAGGAAGTTCTCCTGGATAATATCCTAAAGTTTGTTTTCTAGCTTGGATCCATTCTTCCCGTCACTTTGAGGTATACCAATCAATCGTAGGTTTGGTCTTTTCACATAGTCCCATATAACTTAAAGGCATTGTTTAGCTCCATCAGGCCATTTATGTTTCTCTCTAAGCTGGTTATTCTAGTTAGCAGTTCCCATAACCTTTTATCAAGATACTTAGCTTCTTTGCATTGTGTTAGAACATACTTCTTTAGCTCAGAGGAGTTTATTATTACCCACCTTCTGAAGACTACTTCTGTCAATTCTTCAATCTCATTCTCCATCCAGTTTTGTGTCATTACTGGAGAGGTGTTGTGATCATTTGGAGGAGAAAAGGCATTCTTGTTTCTGGAATTTTTGGCATTTTTGTGCTGTTTTTTCCTCATCTTCATGGATTTATCTACTTTCAATCTTTGGGGCTGATGACATTTGGATGGGGTTTTTTTTGGGGGGGTCCTTTCTGTTGATGTTGATGTTGTTGCTTTCTGCTTGTTAGTTTTTCTTCTAACAGCAAGGTTCTTCTGCAGGTCCAGTGCAGTTTGCTGGAGTTCCAATCCAGACCCTGTTCACCTGGGTGTCACCAGTAAAGGCTGCAGAACAGCAAAGATTGCTGCCTTCTCCTTCTTCTGGAAACTTCATCCCAGGAGGATACCCGCCCAATGCCAACTGGAGCCCTTTTGTATGAGGTGTCTGTCAACCCCTGTTAGGAGGTTTCTCCCAGTCAGGAGTCACGGGGAACCCACTTGAGGAGACAGTCTGTCTCTTAGCAGAGCTGGTGCACTGTGCTGGCAGAATCCCTCTAGTCAAAATCAGCTGCTCTCTTCAGAGCCAGCAGGCAGGAATGATGAAATCCACTGAAGCTGCACCCACAGCCTCCCCTTCCCCCATGTGCTCTGTCCCAGGGAGATAGAGGTTTTCTGTGTAAGCCTCTGACTAGGGCTGTTACCTTTCCTTCAAATATGACCTGCCCAATGAGGAGGACTCTAAAGAAGCAGTCTGCCACAGCCACTTTGCTGCACCCAACCCGGACCTTCCAGCCTCCTTGGCACTGTCAGGGGAAAACTGTCTACTAAAGCCTCAGTAATGGTGGACTCCACTCCCTCCAACTGACCTCAATTGGCCCAGGTCAACTTCAGACTGCTGTGCTGGCAGCGAGAATTTCAGGATGAGGAACGCATTAGCTGTTTGTGATTTTCATGTCTGTTGCAGGGATTTGACCCATTGTTAGTGCTAGATTTGGAGTCTTAAAAAACAGATTTATCTTACTGAACTCAAAGTACAACTTGAAGATGTACTCAGCTGTTTACTTAAATTGCAGCAGGAGAAAATGTATCTTTGCAGATCTATTTTTATGTCACTTGCTTTTAGACACGAGATTGTCTCTGGCACAGTAATTCAACTTAGTCTATGTCAAAAACATAGCCTGAAAATGCTCAAAAAAAATTATGAATAGCGGATTGTATTCTATGTGTTCTCAAATTTCTTCTATGATGTAAAATATATAACATAATGTTTTACCTTGGATTTCTAACCTCAGCCCTCAGCCATTTTCCCAATTTTTTTTTTTTTTTGTTTTGAGACGGAGTCTTGCTCTGTCTCTCAGGCTGGAGTGCAGTGGAGCTATCTCGGCTCACTGCAAGCTCCACCTCCTGTGTTCATGCCATTCTCCTGCCTCAGCCTCCCAAGTAGCTGGGACTACAGGCACCTGCCACCACGCCCGACTACTTTTTTGTATTTTTAGTAGAGACAGGGTTTCACCGTATTATCCAGGATGGTCTGGATCTCCTGACCTCATGATTCACCCATCTCAGCCTCCCAAAGTGCTGGGATTACAGGCATGAGCCACCTTGCCATGCCCCACTTTCCCAAACTATTAAAAGACCTTCCAAGGTGGGTCAAAAGCATTTTTCAGAGAAGATTATTCCTAACAGTAAAGGATAATAACAGATGGATAAAAATCTCAAATAAATTATGCCTCTATTTGCAGAAGCGTCACTCTCCAGAGTCTCCAAGATCCAGAGAATTTCCATGAGGTAGAGTAGTTTATGGACATTTAGCAAAGTTGGTCCTGACTGCTGTCTCAGCCTCTTAATAGATGTGCAGCTATAGACAATTTACTGGACTTAGAACAGTTATATAAACCTGGGCTGCAAGAAAACGGATAACACTGATTGCAAGAATGGCAACCACTTCTCATTCCTCTCTGATCTGGGCCCTCTGCAATGTACACTTGAGGCTGCTTCCATGGAGGGAAAGATTTTCTTTTCCCAAATCTTGGATCTGGCTGGCCTTATTTGCTCTGCCTCATTCATACTTTTTGTTCTAATAAAATAATTAAGATGTTTAGCGTCTCATCCCAGCCTTTATCTTGTTAAAACTATATCTTATAATATGTCATCTCTCTTTACTATATTTGGTTATATTCATTCTGTTCAATACTCAGGTAATTTTTTATCTCTGTTTAATTTAGTGTTTCACCTATACCTTGTCCTAATTTTTTTATTCTTTACATTCTACCGAGCTGTGATTCAAATATGATATTTGAATATGGAAAATGGTGGCCTAGTTTTTCTTCAGAAATTTCTTTTTATTTACTTGTGTTCTTTAGTTTTTAACTTGGTTCCAATATTTGGGAAATATCACATTTGAGATGTCTGTAGTCATGTTATTTCTGTGCTTATTCCATTTTCCCTTGGAGGAAGGTGGACAGCATACAGACTTGACATCCTTGTGATCTATCAGTATCTGAAGGGACCACTTTTTTTCAGTTTGATTACTTCTCTGGCTTATTCTCTTGATTTACTTTAGCTTTCATCAAGTGCTTCTATATTTTTAAACTGTATTCATTATTTTCATAGTTTTTGTAGCTTCTTGAGAACTTTTACTTGTCTACACTAAAATATTTAAAAATATGTAGCCTTTTCTTCTGAAAGCACAAATATGCAGTGTACACATGAGTAGAATATTTCATAGGCATTGGGCAGCATACAACCACATCTTATGAGATATTCCGTTTCTTCATTCAAAACATCTCTCTCAAATATGTAGTAATAGTCACTTGTAAGGGGTAGTTCTTTTGATACTTAAAATTTTCTTTTATGTGCCTTTATGAAAATATATACTTAACTACAGAGAACAGAACTCTGTGCTTCCTTTTAGTATGTCCTTGACCTCACAAAAATAATTCATGAAATCTTATATTTATTTTATAAATTAATTTAATGAAACAAAATTTGTGCATGGCTAAATATTACTTGTTGAGTACAATTTAGAATTTCTACTGTCATTTTAGTGTCCTAAAAGATATGAGCTGTTGAATTTCTGCTCTCATAAAATGAATGATATTGTTAGGCCTAAACCCTTGCCATTTATTTTCCCCCTCTGTCATACAGTGTGTATCTTTGGTTCACTGCTGAAAAATTTTATTAATTTTTCTCTCTTGCTAGTAGTCATACTTTCTAATAAAGTTATCATTACTTGTGTTTATTTAGTTACTGTATGTTAAACATTTGATTTCTGATGGTCTTAATGTCATTTAATATAATTGTAAATATTTCAATTTGTCATTATTAACAAATTTCTGTATTATATGTTTTAGACTCAGCTATTAAGTATATGTGGGTAAATGACTTAGAATAATTTCTAAAACATTGTAGGGGCTACTAAGTACTAATAACCCTGATTCATTAAATTTTTATTCCTTATAATATTCTTTATTGACTAAATTATTTTGTAATCTTATTTAAATTTATTCTTTTCTTTTCTAAATATTTGTGAAAAAGGGGTTAGGCTAATGTGTCATTTTGATAAAACTTCATGTCAAATGATATGTTTCACTGGTTTCTTTTAGATGTAATAGCTTTTTTGACTCAGGCAATACATGCAAGTATGAAGTATAAAAATTATAGTCTCAATCCTTAAGCTGAGGAAAAACTTGGCTATTTATTGATTTTAACAAAGCTACATTATCCCACATAATACGTAAAACTTTCACAAAGCTACATTATCCCACAAAACAGGCATACCAGCTGCCTAGATCTGGAAACATGGATTGTTACAAATTAGAAGTAAATAACTTGATAGGCCCAATTTAACAAATGAAGCTCAAGAAGTGGGAGATATGAGACCTATAATGAAAGATTAAATTATTTTAAAAATCTTACCACAAAGAAAAATCAGAGTCAAATACTTTAACTGTTAAATTATACAAAATATTTCATAAAAATACCAATCCTTTACAAATACACACCATACATAGATAAGAGATAAACAACCCCTAACTACTTTATGAGGCCAATATTACTATACCAAAGCCAGACAAACCCATCATGTGTTAGGATTAATATGGGTACATACGGCTGATAAATAAAGACACATAATTCTCAAAAAGTACTAATAAGTTAAATACAGAAACACGTAAAAGTAATTATACACCATGGCCAAGTACAATCTTTTTACAAATGAAGTGGCTTAATATCTAAAAACCAATAATTTAATACACAACATTGATAAAGTGAAGAACATAAAATGATCCTTTTAATAGACACAGAAAAGCTTGTGATACAAACAACACTGATTCATTATAAAATCCTTAACATACTAGGAAGGAAAAACTTACTGGAACTACTAAAAAGGATTCATAAAAATTTCCCACTAATATTACACTTGCTGATGAAAGACTAGGCTCTTTGCCTCACAGTTGTGGGAAACAGATAAGCATGGCTACTTTCGCTACTCTACTAAATTGAACTAAAGGTGTTAGGCAGAGAAATTATATAATAAAAACAAATAAAACTTCTAAATTTATAAAATAAACTTTTATTGTAAATGGCATCAACTTATATTCAAGAATTTTTAAAGAGTTTACAAAAATCAACTGGAACTAATAAATGAGTTCAGCAGGTCACAAGATACAAGATAAATGCACAATATTAAATTGCACTTTTATACAGTAACTAAGGGCAATCAGTAAATAAAATTAGAAAAAATAATTCTACTCATTAGCTCAATGTGTAGTGGCTTAAAATTCCAAATATGCATTATGTCTTATTTTCTGTTGGCTACAAATACTGACACAGTTTAGTTGAATGGGTCTACCACAATGTCCTCATGTGTCCGGAATTGGTCGGTTCTTGGTCTCACTGACTTCAAGAATGAAGCCGCGGACCCTCACGGTGAGTGTTACAGTTCTTAAAGGCAGCGTGCCTGGAGTCTTTCCCTTCTAATGTCAGCATGTGTTTGGAGTTTCTTTCTTCTGGTGGGTTCGTGGTCTTTCTGGCTCAGGAATGAAGCTGCAGACCTTTGTGGTGAGTGTTACAGCTCATAAAGGCAGTGTGGACCCAAAGAGTGAGCAGCAGCAGGATTTATTGCAAAGAGCGAAAGAACAAAGCTTCCACAGTGTGGATGGGGACCCGAGAGGGTTGCCACTGCTGGCTCGGGCAGCTGCTTTTATTCTCTTATCTGGCCCCACACACATCCTGCTGATTGGTCCATTTTACAGAGAGCCAATTGGTCTGTTTTACAGAGAGCTGATTGGTCCCTTTTCACAGGGTGCTGATTGATGCATTTACAATCCTTGAGCTAGACACAAAGTTCACCACGTCTCTACTAGATTAGCTAGATACAGAGTGTTGATTGGTGTATTTACAAACCCTGAGCTAGACACAGGGTGCTGATTTGTGTGTTTATAAACCTTGAGCTAGATACAAAGTGTCGATTGGTGTATTTACAATCCCTTATCTAGACATAAAGTTTCTCCAAGTCCCCACCAGACTCAGGAGCCCAGCTGGCTTCACCCAGTGGATCCCGCACCAGGGCCGCAGGTGGAGCTGCCTGCCTGCCAGTCACACGCTGTGCTCCCGAACTCCTCAGCCCTTGGGTTGTCGATGGGACTGGGTGCCATGGAAGAGGGGGTGGAGCTCGTTGGGGAGGCTCGGGCCGCACAGGAGCCCTTGGCCGGAGTGGGGGAGAGGCTCAGGCAAGGCGGGCTGCAGTTCCCGAGCCCTGCCCCGTGGGGAGGCAGCTAAGGCCTGGCGAGAAGTCGAGCACAGCAGCTGCTGGCCCAGGTGCTAAGCCCCTCACTGCCTGGGGCTGGCGGGGCCAGCTGGCCGCTCCAAGTGCGGGGCCGCCAAGCCCACGCCCACCCGGAACTCGCGCTGGCCCGGAAGCACCGCGGGCAGCCGCGGTTCCTGCCCGCTCCCCGCAAGATAAGGGAGCCGGCTCCGGCATTGACCTGCTGAGAAAGGGGCTCCCACAGTGCAGCGGTGAGCTGAAGGGCTCCTCAAGCGCGGCCAGAGTGGGCGCCAAGGCCGAGGAGGCACCAAGAGTGAGCGAGGGCTGTGAGGGCTGCCAGCATGCTGTCACCTCTCACTCATGAGACTGAAGCTGTGTCTCAACTGAAGCTTGACTGGGAAGGATGCACTTCTGAGCTCAATCTGGTTAGTTGTGCATTATTGTTTTGACTCAGTTCTTAGTTTCTTTCTGTCTTTGGTCAGGGCACTCTCTCCATTCTCTGTCACACAAGCCTGTAAAAATGAAAGCTTAAAACATTGAAGCTCGCTTCTCCAGAGCAAAGTATGCGACAGACAGAGAGAAAGACAGGAAAAAAGGAAGTAAACAATATCACAAGAGAGAGAAAGTAAGAAGCAAGTGACAATCTTTTCATAATCAAATATTGGCAGTGACATTCCCTATTTTCAAATGTATTCTACTGCCATGAAGTGAGTCACTAACCACTTACTGTTTACATTTGGGTGTGTATAGTTGGAAATAAAAATTATTATGAGCCATCATGAAGGCTGTGCACTACGTATGCCAAGGTGAGACAAATGGGCCTGATTCTACATATAACGAGAAGGTACTACAATGTGTGTTGTTGTTATTGTTGTTGTTCTGGCCAAAGAATAACAACATCTAAATTTTATTCAATTTCAATGTTTTCATGGTGGAGTTTGAAAAATAAATTCAAGAGGGGACATGACTTTCTCAAGATTCAAGTTATAAAACCCAGGCATGTTTGAGAGATATTCAAGCAATGTCCCATCCCTTGTAGTTTCTTTCTCTAAGTTTATGCAGTAGCTGTGTTTAATATCAAACCCAACAGTCATGCGTATCATTTTATACATATCTCATGAGATCCCTTGCAGCTGGATGCCACCATAATCCCCACTGTGCAGGCTGTGAGACTATGGAGCCCCTGAGAGGCACAATGACATACTTGGCATCACATAATTAATACATTAAACATAAAGACTTTAACTCAGCTTGTATCCTCAAACTTGTGGCTCTGGCTGCATTCCATTTCCTCCGGCACTGGTGCAGGAGGTGCTGTATTTGCATAATTGTGCACAAGTAATCAGATGACTTGGGAGAGAATGGTGAGCAGTCAGCAGTGCAGAAAAGCCTTTGAGTAGGTCTTATTGAAGGAAGATAGGTCTTATTGAAAGAAGAATAATACCTTCAAGAAGTGACCTCATTTCTTTGGTGAAAGGTCCTAACAGTACTAAGTATTCTGGTAACCAAAAACTCACATTCTAAAGACAGTCCACCATACAGCACTGTTGGCCAGAATCTCTCAAGAGAGAAAGATGTTCTGCTGTATAACAACTTTCTGAGGCTCTTTCTTGTGAGGTTCTGTTCCTTACAAGTAGCACCTTCTAGCTATGTCTTCACACGACAGAAGGGGCATGAATATTCCTTTCAACCTCCGTCACACGGGCACTATTATTTTCTCGTTAACATGCAGCCCTCCTGACTTAATAACTTTCTCAAAGTTCCAATAACTAATAGTATCACACTGAATCCACGTGTGGATTAAGTTTTTAAATATGAATGTGGAGAGTGAGGAACACAAATATCCAGACCATAGCAAAAAGTTAATAAGCAATAACAATTGCAGTGGACAGTATTATTAATGCTTGGGATATGGGAATTTGATGTTTCTATCACAAAGGTTAAACAATGGTTTATCCTTGGCCGGGCATGATGGCTCAAGCCTGTAATCCAAGCACTTTGGGATGTCAAGGCAGGCGGATCACAAGGTCAGGAGATCGAGACCATCCTGGCTAATACGGTGAAACCCCGTCTCTACTAAAAGTCCAAAAACATTGCTGGGTGTGGTGGCGGGCGCCTGTAGTCCCCGCTACTAGGGAAGCTGAGGCAGGAAAAAGGTGTGAACCCAGGAGGTGGAGCTTTCAGTGAGCTGAGATCACACCAGTGCACTACAGCCTCGGAGACACAGCAAGACTCCATCAAAAAAATAAAATTAAATTAAAACATATAACAAAATTAAGGTCCAATTAAAGGTAAATATATATAGCAAAAAAAAATTCAAGCTCTGATAAGGTTAATTGTAACAGATTGTGCCAGAATTTTGAGATTTCTGGGGATGGACAGAGCCCAAGAGTTTCCTTCTATAACAATTTCTGTGAAGTTTCTTACACTCTTATTCAATTTGAACGTGGATAAATGGGTTTTCTCTGTTTTGTTATTTAAGAGATTCATGATAAGGAAGGCCTATTTATGCATGATTCTTAAACAATTATTGAGTCAGTGGTGTCTGCTGAGGAAGGGCACAGAATCTCATGCCCACAGAAGCATGATGTTCTGTCAGATAGGAGACTTCTCCCAGAGCCAGAACTTCATCTTTCAAATGGAATTAGAGATTTTCACAGGCATACATTGCTCTGAAGCCCTATCAGAGGCTTAGCACTGAGAATATGACCAAAGAAGGTGACTAATAAACATATGACCTAGTACTCTGATCTACAGTGATTCTACCCTCTCAAATAGCTCTTCCCTGGCTCTGGAATCTTTTCTGGATTCATCTACCAGAAACAGATACACTGAAAGATTGAGAAGAAGCTTTTATTCTCACTGTGAGTCTTGCCCTGTCTCACCATCTTCTCTAGAAGTGCAATGTTCTAACTATTCCTGAGAGACTTCATCTCAGGTAGCTCTCTCTGACAACATAATTGAGAAGAGAAACGAGCAAGACTCAGATTATCTTGAAGGCTTGTCTAGGGTTCTTACATGATTTATGTCTCCAATTTATGTCAATATTGACAAATATAGATTCATCTCTAGATGGTAGAAAAACAGAAGGAGGAGCCTCTGCTCACAGAGAAAATAAAAGATGAATTCAATGTTTTGTAGAGCCAGCTTATTTTAAACCATGGGGCATTTAATCTTTTTAGAAAAAAACAAAAGCAATAGGGTTTTTTGTTTTTGTTTTTGCTTTTGCTTTTGTGTTTTCATTTTGGTTTTTTTTGTTTGTTTGTTTTTTCCCTGAAGCAACTCAACTGTGGCCTCAGACAACTGGGCACTGAGAACGCATGCTCCTCACTAGAATTTCATTACTACATTGCAGAGAAATGGGATAATTACAAAGGATTTTTTTTTTTTTGAGATGGAGTCTTCCTCTGTCATCCAAGATGGAGTGCAGTGGCATCATCTCAGCTCACAGCAACCTTGGTCTCTCAGGTTGAAGCAATTCTCCTGCCTCAGCCTCCCAAATAGCTGGGACTACAGGCATGTGCCACCTTGCCTGGGTAATTTTTATATTTTTAGTACAGACTGGGTTCCACCATGTTGGCCAGATGGTCTCGATTTCCTGACCTCGTTATCCACCCTCCTTGGTCACCTAAAGTGCTGGGTGTGAGCTGCTGTGCCCAGCCCAAAGGATTCTTAAGGGTGATATGGGGGATGGAATGGAAAAAATAAACTTACTCTTTGCACTTCCACCTGGTCTAACTAACCCTACTCTCATCCTATCCCAAAATTATTGCCAGACTTTTCTGGAGTGTGCCAGGGGCAATTCAGAAGGAAAAGAGGTTATTCATGCCTATCCATTTCCCATAGCTCCTGAGATCTAAGTCGTTCACTCCCCTGGTTTCAGGTTGTTGCTCCCCTTCTATATCCTCAGAATTAATGTGATCCATTCCAATACTTATAATTGTACCTTTATCTGATCCCCTCCTATTTTGCTGTAGACATTTTATGTAGTAGATCCAGTTGTAATAGAGACAAGAATGTTTATATACACCATAATCAGAACTAAATTGGAGTTCCATAACCCCTTTTTTGACTGGGCTGCTACTCAGAAATCATACAAACCAGGCTGCCTGGAGGTTGCAGTTAGGAGAAATCACATCTTGCCCAGGAATGTCAGTGTGGAAACTCAGATTTGGAAAATAGATTCCTATAGCCCCAATCATTTTGCAACACTTCTGCAGAGTTAAAAGAAAGCCAGTATCTAACAGAAAATCTTGAGCTTGCAGAATAACAGAAAAGAAAAAAAAAACAAAAACACAACTTGCCAAAACACTGAAACTCCCTCTACTTATGAAATAAACAAACTGGCTTAAATTGGTGGAATCATTATGGCCAAATGGTGTTTTGGCAGAATCACCTTGCTGAGGTCACCGTCTGAATTTTCACTGCCTGTTTCATCACAACTCCCCTTCAGTTTGCCCATGACATCCATGAGGAGGCAATGAGCTTGAGAGTAACGTTTCAGTATAAAATTGCTTTCTCTTAAAAACCTGATGTCATAGTATTGGCTTCTAGCACTTCAAGAAGTGAGCTCCTTTTACTCAATAACAATGTTATCTATATCTTAGAGACAGTCAACAGGAGATAATCTCTTCTGGGACCAAAGAAGGTGACTAATAAACCATTTAATCAACACATTACCTAACCAAAAGCTGTGGACCCTGATGAGGAAAATAAGTTAAAATGAGACTATTGGCTCATTTTAATAGATATGGTGATAAAAGCAAAAAAAAAAAAAAAAAAAAAAAAAAGAGAGAATTTAAGCGGTCTCAAATACCTAAAAGATGACATGGATTAGCTTCAAGTAACACATAATGTGGCTGGAGTCAGCTGATCTTTATGCTGAAAGTGTCAACAGTAGTGACAAATACTTCAAGTAACGGGTCAAAAGTCTAAGACAGTCATTCTGCCAGAAATGGTCTGGGACTTCCCCATACATGGGACACGTAGATCAACTTTCTCCAAGAACCACCAACCTGGCATGCAGTGATGACCTCTGCAGTAGACAGGGATTTAGGCTTGATTGTTGTTCATCTCTTTGGAGACATAACCCTAATTGTGAACTTCTAAATTAATGGCCTGACAATTAGATCAGCAGCTAAGATAAATTTCAGTTTGCAGCCCCAAAGAAGATGTTCTTAATTAGACAGTTAATCATTTTCAATATGGAAGCCTAAACACGTAGAATGTGGCAATAACCCGGAACTCTCAGTTCTGACAATTGAGTGAAGTAATCACCCCAGATTCAGGTTCTTCATTGGCTGACAATGAGATCAAACACCCACACCAGCCCAGTGAACACCATGAGGTGTCATCTTCCCTGGCCCATTAGTGAACCAGGAACAGATATTTAGAAAATATTCAGTAAATTGGGGAGTCCCACAGAGTCAGAAAGTTTGCTTGAGATAGTAGAGGGTGGCATAAAATTTCTACCGAATATGAATTTTAATTTTTACTTTAGTGCCGTTTCTATTTTAGTCTAATTTCCTTCTAGAATATGTTATTTCTATTTACCAAGTGGCCTCCTGTGGTCTTTTTCATAGAGTTCAAATCGACCCATCTAAAAACAGAAAGATCAAGCTAACGACCTCCCTCAGGGGTCAGAATTCAGTTTCACAGCTCTGTAGCAAGCTCATTGTTGACTTACAAATTAGTGTAACCAATAGTAACGTCATGGTGACCATAACTCCAACATCCCAAAAAGTACCTCAAGTTAGAGGCTGACTTCATTTATCAGAGGATTCAAATGGCAAAATCAAGCTTTACTAGATCACTGGATTACTGGAAGAAGTGAGCAATGCGAATCTGCAATATAGTTTCACTAAACTTTAATAGGACAGCAAGACTGTAGATATTTTAGCCCTCTCAAAATATGAATCTTCTGATCCTTTCATCTAGAATCTCTATGTGTGCCATAAAGTCCTAACTCTGCTTGTGCCTATACTTTCTGTTCATGCAGAGATTAAAAGACAAACAGGTGGGAGCTTAGTGTTTTAGCGTTTTTCCTGAGAATCTGTCTAGCCTAGAGCATCCCCATTTTTTTCTAGATTCCAAGGAGTACTATCACTATCCTAATTCTCAGTGTCTTGTTTCCAAGTATTTCCTCCTACGATTGTCAGCGTGACTACCTTTTTACCCCACTGATAGTGTTTGCTCCAGGTGAACTGGGTAGTTCATTTTTATTTAAATGCTTCCATAAGCGTTAAGCTATTAATTTAAGATTTCTTTGTTTTTTATAAAGTAATTCTGCTGATTCCCTCAGAGCTCAACTTTCACTAAGTCTCATAAATTTTATTATGTTTTGTCTAAATGTCTATTTATGTTAAAATATTCTCTGACACTATTTGTACATTTTTTATTCATTAATTATTTAAGATTGTGTCATTTAATGCACACATGTTTGCATTTCCCAAATTTCTTGCTTTTTTGGTCTCTAATTTTCTCTTTTGTGATTAGAAAACATTCATTTTATTATTTCAATCTTTCAATTTTATTGATTTTTTTTATGATGCAGCATATTCTCCATTCTAGAGAATGTTCTATGTGCATTTGGGAAGAATATACATTCTGATTTGGGGTGAAGAGTTCTCCATATATCTCTAGTTTTATTTGGTTTATGTTATTCATGTCTTCTATTTCCTTGTTTCTCTTATGTCTAGTTCTTCTACCCAATAGTGTAAGTGGGGAAGTGAAGCTTGCAATTTTTATTGTTGAAACTATTGTTGCAACTATTTCTGCCTTTATTTCTATCAGTTTTGCTTTATGTACTTCTGTGAACTTTTGTTACATTCATATATGTTAATTTATTTTCCTTATGAATTTATCCTTCTAATTATAATCTATCTTCATCTCTAGTAATAGTATTTGTTGTCTTAAAGTATATCCTAATTTTTTTATTTTTGGTTTTTCTGGGTGCATAGTAGGTGTATACCTTTATGAAGTATATAGAATATTTTGATACAGTCATACAATGTGTAATAATTACATCAGAGTTAATGGGGTATTCATCACATGAAGTATTACTATTGGATTTCAAATAACCAAATTATACAATTTCTGTTATTTTAAAATGTACACTTAAATTATTCTTAACTAGAGTCACCTTGTGCTGTCAAATGCTAGAACTGATTCATTCTTTCTAACTATATTTTTATACCCATTAACCATTCCCACCTCCCCGCCCTCAACCTTCTACTACTTCTCTCAGCCTCTGGAGACCATCATTCTACTCTTTATCTCCATTAATTCTTTGGTTTTAATTTTTAGCTTTAACAAATAAGTGAGAACGTGTGAAGTTTGTCTTTCTATACCTGGCTTATTTCACTTAATAAAATGACCTTCAGTTTAACCCATGTTTTTACAAATGACAGAATCTCATTCATTTTTATGTCTGAATAGTACTACATTGTGTATATGTACCACTTTTTTGTTTATTCATCTGTCGATAAACACCTATGTTACTTCCAAATCTTGGCTATTGTGAATAGTGTTGCAATAAACACAGGAGTACAGCTATCACTTTGATACACAGATTTTTCTCTCTTTTGGATATATACCTAACAGTGAAATTGCTGGATTGTACAGAAGCTCTATTTTTAGTTTTCTGAGGAAACTTCAAGCTGTTCTCCATAGTGGTTCCACCAACTTACATTCCCACCAACAGCATATGAGGGTTCCCTTTTCTCCGCATGCTTGTCAGCATTTGTTATTGCCTTTTAGCTAAAACCCACTTTAACTGGGGTGAGGTAATAGCTCATTGTAATTCTGATTTGCATTTCTCTGATGATTCATGATGTTGATCAACTTTTCATATGCCTATTTGCCATTTGCGTGTCTTTATCGGAGTAATGTCTGTTTACATATTTTGCCTATTTTTTAAAATAGGATTATTAGATTTTATTTTCTATAGAGTTATTTGAGCGCCTTCTATGTTTTGGTTACAAATCCATTTTCAGATAGGTAGTTTGAAAATATTTTCTTTCATTCTGTGGGTTGTTTTCTGACTTTGTTGATTCTTTTCTGTGTCATGCAAAATTTTATAACTTGGTGTGATACCAATTTTCCATTTTGCTTTGGTTGCCTGTGCTTGTGAGGTGTTACTCAAGAAATCTTTGCTTAATCCAAGGTTTTTTAGAATTTCCCCAATGTTTTCTTTCAGAAGTTTCATAGTTTGCAGTTTTACATTTAAATATTTAATCCATTTTGATTTAGTTTTTGCACATGGCAAAAGATAGAGGTCTAGTTTTATTCCTCTGCATATGGATATCCAGATTTACCATCACTGTTTATTGAAGAGACTGAGTTTTTATTCTTAATATATTTTCTTGGTGCCTATGTAAAAAATGAGTTCACTGTAGATGGATGGTTTGGTTCTGGGTTCTCTATTCTGCTCCATTTTCCTGTGTGTCTGTTTTTATGCCAGTACTATGCTGTTTTGGTTACTACACATCGGTAGTATAATTTTGTGTAATGTAATAATGTATGCTATGTAATGGGATTCCTCCAGTTTTATTCTTTTTGCTCAGGATAGCTTTAGCTATTCTAGGTCTTTTGTGATTACATATAAATTTAAGATTTTTTAGAGCTGTTGTATTTATTTGTGTGAGGAATGTCAATGGTATTTTTACAGAAATTGCGTTGAATCTGTAGCTTGCTTTGTGTAGCATGGACATTTTAATATTGATTCTTCCAATCCATAAACACAGAACACTGACTAATACAATCTGCAAATGGGTAGTTTGACTTCCTCTCCTCTTATTTGAATGCCTTTATTTTTTTCTCTTGTCTGATTGCTCTGGCCAGGATTTTCAATACTATGTTGAACAGGGCTGGTAAGAGAGGGCATCTTTGTCTTGTGCCAGTTTCCAAGAAAAATGCTTCCAGTTTCACCCATTCAGTATAAAGTTGGCTGTGGGTTTGTCATAGATGACTTTTATTATTTCAAAGCATGTTTCCTCAATACCTAGTATATGGAGAGTTTTAACATAAAGTGGTTTTGAATTTTAATGAAAGCTCTTTCTGCATCTATTACAATAATCATGAGGTTTTTGTCTTTCGTTCTGTTTGTATTATGAATCACATTTATTGATTTGCATATGTTGAACCAACCTTGCATCCCAGGGAAAAAGCCTACTTGATTGTGGTGGATAGGTTTTTTGGTGTGCTGCTGGATTTGGTTTGCCAGTATTTTATGGAGAATTTTTGCATCAATATTCATCAAAGATATGAAATTTTTCTTTCTTTTGCTTTTCTTCCAGGTTTTGATATCAGAAGGGTGCTGGCCTCATAGGATGGGTGAGGAAGATGATCCTCCTCAAATTTTTGGGAGTTTCAGTAGGAATGATACCAAATTCTTCTTTGCATATCCAGTAGAATTTGGCTGGGAATTCGTCTTTTCCTGGGCTTTTTAAAATTGATAGTTTATTTATTACAGATTCAATTTTGGAGCATGTTATTGGTCTGTTCAGGGATTCAATTTCTTCCTGGTTCAGTCTTGGAAAGGTGTACATGTCCAGGAATTTATCTATTTGTTCTAGGTGTTGTAGTTTTTTTGCATAAAGGTGTTCATCATATTCTCCGATGTTTATTTCTATTTCTGAGGAGCCAGTGGTAATATCCCCTTTGTTGTTTCTGATTGTCTTTGTTTGGATCTTCTCTCTTTTCCTCTATATTAGTCTAGCTAGTAGTCCACATTTAAAACAAAACCTACTCCTGGATTCATTAATCTTTTAGTTTTTTTGTGTGTGTCCTAATCTCAGTTTATCTCTGATTTTGGTTATTTCTGTCTTCTTCCAGCTTTGGGGTTGGATAGCTCTTCATTCTCTAGATGTTTTAGTTGTGATATTGAGTGGTTAAATTGAGATCTTTGTTACTTTTTGTGGTGGGTGTTCAGCAACATCAGTTTTTTTCTCAACACTGATTTAGTTGCATCTCAGGGATTCTGGTAGGTTGTGTCTTTGTTCTCATTACTTTCAAATAACTTTTTGATTGATGCCTTAATTTCATTATTCACACAAAAGTCATTCAGGAGTGAGTTATTTAATTTTTATGTAATCATATGGTATTGAGTATTGGTTTTCTCAACTTTTACCTCCAATTTTACTGTACTCTGGTCTCGGAGAGTGGTTGTCATAATTTGAATTCTTTTATAATTTCTGAGAACAGTTTTATGTCGATTAAGTGGTTGATTTTAGAGTATGTGCCATGTGGCAATGAGAACGTATATGTTGTTGTTTTTGGTGGAGAGTTCTGAAAGTGTCTGTTACATCCATTTGATCCAGTGCTGCATTCAGATCTTGAATATCTTGTTAATTTTCTGCCTTAATAATCTAATATTGTCAATGGGTTGTTGAAGTTTTTCACTATAATTGTGTAGGAATCTAAGTCTTTTTAAAGACCTCTAAGAACTTGCTTTATGAATTTGGGTATTCCTGTGTTGGGTGTGTATATATTTAAAATGTATATATTTAAATTTGAATACATATATTCTTGTTGAATTTAACCCTTTAGCATTTTGTAATGCCTTTTTGCCTTTTTAAATCTTTGTTGTTTTAAAGTCTGTTTGTCTAAACTTAGGGTTGCAACCCATTCTTTCTGCTGTTTTCCATTTGCTTGGTAGATTTTTTATCCCGTCATTTTCAGCCTGTGAAACTGATTGCATGTGAAATGAGTCTTGATGACAGCATATCATTGGTTCTTTGTTCTTTATCCAGTTTCCCACTGTTTGCCTTTTAATTGGAACATTCAGCCCATTTACATTCATAGTTAGTGTTGATATGTGTGCATTTGATGCTGCCATTATAATGGTAGCTGCTTATTATGCAGACTTGTTTGTGCGCAACTGGTCTGTATACCTCAGTGTGTTTTTTTAGTGGCTAATAAAGGTTTTTTTCACCTATATTTAGTTCTTCCTTCAGGAGCTCTTGTAAGGCATGTCTTGTAGTAATGAATTTCCTCAGCATTTGCCTGTTTAAAAAGAACTTTATTTCTCCTTTACTTATGAAGCTTAGTTTGGCCAAATACGAGATTGTTGATTGGAATTTATTTTCTTCAAGGAGGTTAAATATTGGTATTGGTCTCTTCTGGCTTGTAGGATTTCTGCTAAAAGGTGTACTTTTACACTGATAATCTTTCCTTTGTGGTTGACCTCCCTTTCCTCTCTAGCTGCATTTGTCATTTTTTCTTTTATTTCATGCTTGAACAATCTGATAACTATGTGTTTTGGTGATTATTATATTATGAAGTATCTTACTGGAGTTTTCTGCATTTCCTAAATTTGAATGCTGGCCTCTCTAGCCAGCATTCCCCAGGTTGGGGAAGTTCTCATGAATGATATCCTAAAATATGTTTTTCAAATGGCTTCCATTCTCCCCACCTGTTTCATGAACACCAGTGGGTCATACCTTTGGTCTCTTTACATAATCTTATATTTTTCAGAGGCTTGGGGGTTTTTATTACTCTTTTTTATTTCTGTCTGTATGTCTGACTTCACATAAACAGTCTTCAAACTTTGAGATTCTTTCTTAGCTTTGTCTATTCTACTATTAATAGTTGTGAATTTCTTATAAAAAAAATTTAGTGTGATATTTTTAGCTCTCTCAGGTTAGTTATGCTCTTAATACTTGCTCTTTTGTCTCTCAGCTCCTGTATCATTTCATTATGATTCTTAACGTTTTTGAATTGAGTTTCAAGTTACTTCTGCATTTTAATGATCTTTATTTCTATTCATATTCTGAATTTGATTTCTGTAATTTTAGCTATCTTGGACTGATTTATAACCTTACTGGAGAGGTAGTGTGGCCATTTGAAGGAAAAGAGGAACTCAGGTTTTTTGAGTTGTCAGAGGTTTTGTGCTTGTTCTTTCTTATCTTTCTGGGATGATATTTCTTTAATATTTGAAGTTGTCAACTTTTGGATTTTTCCTTTTATTCTGCTTGATGACCTTAAGGGTTTAATTGTGTTATAAGGTTGGCTCAGTCGAGTGGTTTTGTGTGTATTCATGCAGGCGAAGGTGGCTGCTCAGGGCTGAGGAGAGTATGCTGTTTTTTGTGCTTAGTTGTACTCAAATGACAGTGTTGACAAAGGAGCAGGGTGCTGGTGTTGTGGGGCTGATGGCCTCTGTTTCCTCCAAGATTCTGTCTGCAGTGGTGGTATAGCAGGAGAGGGGGCCTGGAGTACACTCCTACCAACAGCAGTGCCAGGGCAGAATGCATATGCACATGTGCACTGACAGGGCAAGGAAAGCAAGATCCTTCCATGCACACACACACACACACACACACACACACCAGCATAGTGATGTGTGGGGTGGCAATGGGCCTTGGGGGGAAGCTGCAGTGAGGAGAGGCAGCAGGCAGGCTGATGCCTGGATGGGGTCACCCCACTGGAGCTGTCTACTAGTCAGACATGATCTGCCAGTTCAGGATCTATGATGCAGGCCCCCAGGGTACTCAAGGCTGCACTGCAAGCATGCAGGGCCGAATTGGGGTCACAGGAGAGGCCAGCACACCAACGCAAGCTCAGGTCAAAACAGCCCCATCTGATGGGCCACCACCCTGCAGACTTTTTCTCCAAAATTTCCCCTAGGGCTAACGTCTCTTATGGGAGCAAGTTAAGCTTATTGGTGTGGGCATCCCTGGACATGCTTCACTACACATGTTCCCACAATAAACCCTCTTGGCTGTGCACTGGCTGGTGTGCTGCCCCTGTCACTTCTCTAAGCAGCTCTTCCTTTCAACTCATTTTCCATGATGGTCAGAGGGTCTCTGCCAGTGGGATTCCAGAGGCCAGTCAGGAAAGCAGGTAGCTCCTTGCCACTTAAACTCACCTGTTTTTCTCAGAGTCACTGGGGGCCAGAAATCTGTTCCACTGTGCTTTAGCCCTGTGCAGGGTTCCCAGCTTCTCAATCTTAAGTTCAGATTTTGTGTCTTTCCGCCATCCACTATCAGTACCTGCCCTCCGTTAAGAGTGTGCCAGTCATCCTGGTCCCTTGCTGTCAGCTGTTCCACCTTGGTTTGTCTATTCAGCCATCTTGCTCAAATACACAAAGTCTTATAAATCAATAATAAATAGACAATTGACTACTTGAAAAATGTGCAAGGAATTTGAATTAAAAATTTCTACAGATAAGAAGCAAAATTTGTCATTAAATTTAAAATATGTGACATTATTAGTTTAGAGAAATGCAAATCAAAAGCTCAATGACATACTTACTAGAAGACCTGTAAAAGGCAATAAAAAAGGTTGCCAAAGATATCAAAAATATGAAAGCCTCACACATTGTATGTGGGAGTGTAAAAAACAACCGATTTAAAGAACAATTTGGCAATTATTCAAAATGCTATAAATAGTATCACCATATGACTGAGACATTTTACTCTGTTACGTACTCAAAAGAAATGAAAACCTATGACTACACAAAGAATCAGATGTAAATGATCAAAGCAGCAGTATTTGTAATAGCCCAAAGGGGATAAAACCAAAATATCCATCAAATAATAACAGAAAAAATAACGTGTGGTGTGTCCATACAATAAAATACTATGTGCCAAACAAAGAAAATGAAGTAATAATACCTGCTATGTCAGGAAAAAACCTCAAAATCACTAAAGTAAGTAAAATAAACCAAATGCAAAAGGGCAGATAATTTATGATTTCACTTAAAATAACTTTTAATAAAAGGCTTATATATAAAAACAGGCTAATGATTGCCTATGACCAGGGTAATGAAATCAGTAAGTACAAAAGAGATTAATTTCTTTTTCCATAGTGATAAGGTTATTTCAAAATTAGATTGTGGTTATGGGTGTCTGTAAATACACTTTAAAAACTTGGAATTGTACACTTAAAACATGTGATGGTTTTGTTATAAAATTATATCCCTCTAAAATGTTTCCAAATGAAACTGTTGACTTTTGGAGAACTAAGTCACAGACTGTAAAACCAAACCCATTTATTGTTCATCTCAAGGCATGTTAAATAAAGAGGAAAAGACAAAGATATAGTTATAACATTAAAATCTTCATGGCAAATAGTTATAAGAAAAAAATTACAATTGTAAAATGTATTAATAGACATAAATTACCTGCTTAGATTTACCAGGCCAGAAATGTAAATTAAATAATAGTACACTATTGAAGACCACTCTGAGTCACTGATTATTAGAAACTTGTTATGATGTCATCATAGGGTTAAAATATTCCTTATCAAAAATGACTCACAGCAAAAATGTTAAATAAAGTGTGTTAGTGGCACCCCTGTCCACAGTTGCTGGTACTTTTAGTGTATGGCCAATTAGAAAGCTGCTCTTTTGTCCCTCATTTGTAACCAATTTCAACACTCAAATTCAATATTGAACTCCTAAATATATTGATAAAACATGTGAGAAGATGTTTGACTTGTTTTATTGTAAAACAAGGCTAATATACAGTATGTGAAAGTTTCCATAAAATTCTTAAATTATATATTTAAAAGATATTATGAAAATAAAAAATCTTAGCAAACATAGGGAGAATTATAAACTAACATTTATCATACATACCCACCACAAGGCTTCAGCAATTCTCATATTTTTTATCTTTCATTTTTAATTATCAACTTCAATTATTCTGGTAATATTTTCAAGTAAGCATATTATGTTGTCAGTTTGTAGAAATTTGAGTACCTATATCTAAGAAATAAAGAGAAAAATAAAAATAGTACTATAAAATCTAAGTAAATACAAGTATTCTCTAATATTGTACTAAAGAGTTTCTTGATTTTTTACGTGCAAAACAGTAGAACTTAGCAACCTCCAAGACTTTATGAGAAATAACAATTTAAGACTGATATTTATCCTGGAGACTCAAAGTGACTATAAATAAATATATCTTTAGTTAATAAAGCTTAAAAATAAAGTATTAGTAAAAACACATTTTGAAGATGGCTGACACCTTTGTTACTAGACATGGGCCTTGTGCTGTAAATAACTAGTTTAAAAGTCCATGGAAAAGGGATTTTCAACCAAAAAGTCTATAGAAAACAAAAAATTTTGGTTTTTCTGAACTCAGGATGTGAGGCCAGCTTTTAAAGCACGGAATTTAAAAAGCCCTCAAGACCCTAAGCTTGATAAGCACGTCACCAGCAGGTCTCATTTTTCAGCTCTGTGCACCAGGTGGCATGTCTAGCAAAATGTCCCCTCTCATGTCAGGTTTTTTCTATGAACTCAGAATGACCACTGTCCCTTAGTATGCAGCCCTGCAGTGGATCCAAAAATGACAATCAATCAGGTCCAGAGTTGCTCATTATGGCCTTTCCAGAATGTAATTATCTAAGGACAATTCTCCCCTTGTAAAATTAAGAAAGTATCAGAATATTTGCCTAATTTTTGATAACATCATACTGTGAGCCACAAAAAAAGCAAGAATTTAAAATGTAAGGGATTACCTGGATCCTAGGGCACAGAAATACACCTCAAATAGAATAGTTTCACACACGATTTTATATGTGGACTTCCTGTGTGGAAGAAAAGAATGTGGGGGTCAATAGTAGAGAAGTCTGTATGTAGTGGAATTTTAAGAAATCAGAGAGGCCGATGGGGTTCAGGAGGGTATTTATTAATTATTTAGGTGCATTGGTCCAGTCGGATTAACATCCAAAGAATGAGTCCTGAACAAAGAGTTAAGTTACCTTTTAAGCATTTCATGGGTGGGGAGAGATTTGTGCAGGGAGAATCATACTACAGAAGCAAGAAACAAAGACAGTTATTCAATTGAGACATGCATTGCATTATTTCTTACTTTTCAAGGAAAAACCTGTTTTGTGACTTGAATTTATCTGTCTAGTGACCTTGCAGCTTCACAGCTTGGGAAACAGGGTCTTCAGAATTCCTGGGAAAGGAGGAGAGATAAGGATCACTAGCCACAGAAAAACAGGCAGTTAGTTTTTAAAGGACTCCAGCTCTTACTCTTTCTCAACAGAAGTTGGGTTTTCTTACACACAAGTGAGTTTCTGCTTACACACTCTTTAATCTCTTATAATTCCTGTTCCATTCTCCCCATTGGTGCTTTTTATAACAGAGGTGTTAATAGAAAGCACCATTATTTGCCAAGTCTTCATGGAGGTGAGCTTTTTCTTCTTCTGGCGGTGGCTGATATCTGGTTAGTGCATCAACTGTACAGTAGTGTTTTGGGCTACCATTGCCTCCATAGTTGACTGAATACTCCTAATAAACAGAGACAAAAGGCAAGGGAGGATAAGGCAGATGCAAAGAATAAGCAAGAACCTACTAATGAGGGTTTAGAATTTTTCAAATGCTGAGAACCATCCTCCAAACAAGGAATCCGGGGACTACCTGGATCAAGTCTGAAGTGGAACCTGGGCCAACTTGTGCATTCTAACTGTAATTTTTATGACCACTAATATTGATTTCTTGGCTATTGATTTCTAGGCAACAGTTGGTTAAATTAAATTTTCTACATATTCCTCCTTCGGAGGATAAGAGATAATTTAAAGCCAGCCTATTTTGATATATAGCATTTCCTTTTTGTGTTGCTTGTATTGCCAATAAATCTAGTGCCCTCGATATTTCATTGGTTATGATTTGAAGGACTGCCTGCAACTTCATGATGCGGCTGAGGATATAGATTATGGTGCAGTACCCTCATGACCTGTCTTGCACCTAGGTAGCTGGCCCATAGCATGTCATGATTCTTTCAGGAGGTCATTTATTACCTTTTTAGTCTCCTGTGTCCACATCTTTTTTGATATTTTTGTTACTTTTGTGATTATGCTTTTTCTAGTTCTTCTTTTATTTTTATTATAAACTGGATATTCTAAGAATTTCCCTTGCTTTAGAGGAATTAGAAAGAAGGATGGCTTGATTGCTTTTAACAGACATGCCCCTGCCCATTTTGCTGGCAGTTGCCAATATGCCCATGCTCCACAGATCCAATATAGGCCAGAGGGTGCCTTTCAAGCATTTGAATCATCTACCTGATGCCAAGTGCAGCTTAGAGTAAGGAATCCAGAGAAAGTGTTTGGATCTGGTAAGTAGGAGTCATTCTGGGCATTTCTTCATAGAGTTTTGTTTTTAGTCTCGTAATAATACTGTTGCCCTAGGCAGGTTGTTTTTCCTACTGCCTCTGTGAAAGCCTTTCCCCATCGAGTGATACAGTACTTTCCAGTTATGGAGATTTTTAACAATCAAACACTGGCTGAGGCTGTTGGTTCACTGGCAGGGTTAAGCAAAGTGAAGTTATCTTGTGGCATTAATTCCTTTGCCTCCCATTGCCACTCATTCTCCATATTAGTTTCTCTACATACATAGCATGAAGAAATTTTTAAGCTGCCATCTGTGTTTTCAGCTAGTTGAGCAAATAAGTTTTTGGTTGATGGGGGAACCTCGGGCACTGGCTGATCAAAATGCTTACAGAATGACTTGGTATTGAGGGGTTGGATGCATTTGAGTCCTTATAGTATTTTTGACAATTAGTAGTGGAACTCCAAGACCTGCTCCTTGTCTATCAACTCGTAATAGTGCTGTCTGTCCTGTAGACCAAAAAGGTAGCTCTGGCTTTAAGATAGTAAAATTTAAAGGATCGCATGTCCTTGTCTTACAATCTGGTTTTTAGGATTATGAACATACGTGGCATGGCAGTCATCAAAGAAGAAATAGGCCCTTTTTAGAAGGGTGGGATTTCTTTGGTTTGAGCTATAAGCTTTCCTTCTGTTTCTCCCTCTGATTTAATATGTACCTCAAAATAGAATTAATAGGGTAAGAGCCCAGGCTCATAACATACATATAGCTGATTATTTCCTCAGTCACAGACTGAATAGGTGGTCTGGTTGTATGTGCATATTCCTAATTTGCTTCCTGTACATTCATAGTAGGTATGGTACAGTAGAGTTTTAACTGTGGTATTTTTTATCCAGGTAATGTGTACACAGCATGGACATCCTTCAAGAGATTTATCCCCTTTCAGTATAAGCATAAATGGTAACAACATTGTTGTATGTAATAGAAACATGCTTACACTACACATGGGCACAAAAACTTTCCTCTGGGCATAGACATTTGCAGCATTTGCAGTAATAACATAACAACGGAACAATCAGTATTGACAGAATTGTAACTATGGTTATAAATTGTATTCACATTTACTTATCTGGACATGGTCCTCTTAGCTTCGGCTGTGTGTACACTAGTCAGCTTCCGGGATGTGACTAGAGCAGAGTTTGAAGAATCCTTAAGCTTCAGCCATGCTTAGACTGACCAGCCTCCAGTGTGGTCAGAGCAGGGTGGTTGTCCTTTTTACCGGTGGCTGAGATTTGCCATAGGGCTATTCGAGTGGGGCAATCTGGGTCTTGTTGGCTAATCCACAGGTTGTCATCAGGACTCGCTACTGTCACTGGTTTTAGATGGCTATGGTGAATGCAAGGTGTGGCACCTGCAACTTTAACAGCAGTGGGAGTGGACATGATTACAATATGGCGCCTATCGTATATGGGTCCTAGAGTGGTTGAATTCCATTTTTTACCTAAACGAAGTCCCTAGGTTTGAAAGGGTGTACTGGGTCTGTTAGACTTATAGGCATTTGTTTACATACTTAACCATACATTTTAGTATAGCCATACTTAAAGCCTGCATTTGCCTTCTTAAAGTTAGTTTTCCCAATTTACAGAGATTACCCTGAATCTGATTTTTATGGGGGGTGGGCAGCTGAACAAAATCTCAGAGGGCGAATACTCAGTTTTTTGGTGGGGGTGCACCTGACTCATAAGAGGACCATGGGCAAGACCTGATATTACTTCAGATGAGTTTTTCGACAAAATTTCTTCAACAGCTGCTTGAGTGTCCAGTTTATGCTCTCCACTTTACCTGAGATCTGCTACCTGTAGGCTGTATGTTATTTCCATTTTATTTTTAATAGTCGAGTTAAGTCCTGAACTATTTTAGCCACAAATGTTGGTCCATTCTCTGATCTTAGAGTTAGAGGCAGCCCAAATCTGGAAACAATGTCTCTTAACGCCTTGGTCACGTCTAGTGCCCTCTCTGTCCTGGTGGGAAAGGCCTTGAGCTATCCTGAAAAGGTGCAAATGAACACCAATATGTACTGATAGCCCCCGTCTCAGGGTCATTCAGTGAAGTCCATTAGCAGTTTTTCACAGGGCATGGCTCCTTTTTCCTGAACTCCCATGGGCCGAGTAGGATCTTGTCGTGGATTGTTCCGAGTGTAAGTTAAACACAGTTTACAAATGGCCCGAGTAATAGCAATGAGCCATGGCAGATAAAAATGATGCCTTAATAATGTCTTTATTTTTTTTTTAATCTGAGTTCGGTGGTGGAATTGTTTTACAAATCTGGGGGTCACCATTTCAGGTATGGCTAGCCTCCCATTGAAGAATTTGTATTATCCTCTTTCAATGTAGTTCTTATTTTCCTGGGGAAGCCAAGCTCTGTTATTTGGAGTGAAGATTGCGATCTCCAGGAGGGGAATCTCCGGGAGGAGAGGCATAGCTAAGGCGTCTTCTTTAGGTGGAGTTGTCATTGCAGCCTTCTTTGCCTCTTTGCCTTCGTATCTTTTTTAGCCCTTAGTGTTCTTGCTTTTTGCTGCCTCTTGCAGGACTTCACTACCGTCACTTTTGGGGCCCATACAGCGTTTAAGAGCTGTAGGATTTCTTCCTTGTACTTTATTTCTTTGTTTCCAGCAGTTAAAAGTCTTCTTTTTTTCTTTGTAAATAACCTTATGAACATGCAAAGTGGCAGAAGCATATTTGGAACCTGTATAAATATTGGTCTTTTGGTCTTTTGCTAGCCAGAGAACTCTTGTCAGAGCTCTTAGTTCTGCTTTCTAATCAGAAGTTTCTGTAGATGAAGACTGCACCTCTACTGTTGAGTCTAAAGTCACCACTGCATACACAGCTTGGCGGGCTCCTTTTAGTATGAAACTGCTTCCATCAGTAGAATATTCAATGTTTGGGTCCCTGAGGGACTGATCTGTCAAATCTCTCTGGCTTGAGAACACTTCATCTACCACGTCCACACCACAATGAAACGGTCCTCCTGGCACTGACTCGATGAGAGTAAGGTAGCCGGATTTAGGGTATTCACAGTCTCTAAAGTTAGTTTACTAGCTTCCTGCACCAGTACGGCAGTGGCTGCTAGTGCTTTAAGACAAGGAGGCCATCCAAGTGCAAAAGAATCTAATTGCCTGGATAAATATGCCACCAGGCGATGCCATGACCTTATGGCTTGAGTCAGAACCCCTATGGCCTCCCTTTCACTTGTGCACATACAAGAAGAAAAGCTTGATTAGTTAGATCTGGCAGTCCTAAAGCTGGGGCCTGAGTCAAGGCTTCTTTGATTTCTTTAAAATCCTTCTCCTCTTTGGCCTCCTAGAGGAGGGGCTCCTTTTTTCCTCCTCTTAGTGGCTTGGTATGATGGCTTGACCATGAGCAAGAAATTTGGGTTGTAAACGCGGCAGAACCTTGCTGCTCTTAGAAACTCTCTTACTTGACACCGGGTGGTTGGAGTAGAAAGTGCACAAACAGCCTGCTTTTTTTCAGGACTAAGCCATCTTTCCTCTTGGCTTATATAAAAGCTTAAATATTAGACACTTTTAGAGGAGATTTGAGCTTTTTTCTGACACTTTTTATTCTGCCTTCTACAGCAGGTGCAGTGGTTCTTGCGTTTCTTCTGCGTGTAGTAGCCCTTGGCTGGTGTGTGTGTGTGATTTTTTGGTTCTGTTTTTTTGGGTTTTTTTGGTTTGTTTTTTGTTTCTTTTACTATTGCCCTGATCATTTTCATTATTTCTTTGACATTTATGCTTCCAGTGTCTTTCCTTTTGCACCATGCACATTAATCTCTCTCTAGCCTCGGCTGGCCTTCACACTCCTGTCCAGACTAGCCTTTTTCATGACTACGTTCACGCCCGCGTCCATGCCTCCTTGTAAAGCCAGCTCCTCTTCCCGGAAGGGCTGCTGCTAGTAAGTTAGCCTTTCTTAAGCCTGTGATCAGCCTTTTCCTTTGCCTCCTCATCTCGGTTAATTAACACCTTGGTTGTCACTTTAATAAGCTGAGTAGCATTCACGCCTACGGAGCTTGTAACTTCTGCAATTTATGCCTGATATCTCCTTGGGTCTGCCTTACAAGTGCTGGATTCACCCTGCACTTATTTTTGAGTAGCCTCAGGGTTAAACGGAGTGTACAATAAAAATGCCTCACAAAGTCTTTCATAGAACTTGCTGTGCTTTTATCTGCACCCTGAAGCATGTCTGAGATTTTTTAAAATATTGATTGCCTTTTTCTTTTACCATCCTTTAGCCTTTGCAGATGGGCTTCTCGGCACCTTTGCAGGTGCTGAATCTGGACTGCATCATCTGGGTCTTAGTGGGGGTCCTCCTGTCCTCTTAAGAGGCATGAGCATATCTTATGCACGACCAGACCTGAGACGGCCTGCCTGATTTTCGCTCTCATTTCACCTTCTCGGGTGAGACTGGCAGCATGTATCCATTTGAACTTAACTCCTTAGGGACAGTTACCTTGGTAAAGGGGGTAGATTGGAATGTAAGGAGGAGCGGTCTCTATTCTTTTCTGTGGTTGTGACAAAACCGGTTTTTCTGCCTTTTCTGAGATTTTTTCATTTGTCTTCAGCTGCTGGGGCAGCTGATTTTACTTTCACTTTTGGCTGGGAGGTGCTACAAGCCTCTGTGTCTCCTTTTAACTCTGTAGCTGCCAGAGCAGCTGATTTTCTCTTGCCGTGAGCTGCGAGCATTCTACAGTAAACTGCTAGGCAGGGCTGCATTCATTTAGCCATGAGTCAATATAAAGACTAGGTCTGAATGTCCTGGCTGTTCTCTGACCCTAGTCACCACCTTAAAACACACGGCCAATTTTTCTATAGTGCCTTTGGCAAGCCATCTGACACTAAAACAGGGCTATTCTAATTCACAGTATGTCCTTAACTTTTGAACACTCAGTTTCATCCTATAATCACCTCTAACTCTTTTTTTAAAATTCTTTATTATGCTTTTCAAAGGAGCCACTTTTGATGTTTTCACTCTCATTTCCTCTCTTGCAGTTCACTTTCACTCTGACTTTCACTCTTGAGTCCACCAGACCTGGTCCTATTGCGGGAGTTTCAGATGCTGCTTAGCCAGGACCATGCCTTCCCCTGTCGCAGACTGCTGCAGCTGTAAAGCTGGTACTATCAGCCATATGAAGCATCTTAGGTCTGATTTTCCCCACATTCGCCTCAGAGCACACAGCCACCACTAAGGGATCTGTGCCTCCCCATGTCGCTGCCCACATTGGCCTCTCCCAATGTAACAGGAAGAGCGGCAGACAAAACCCCTTGGACACTGAGTTAAAGAAAGAAGGTGTTTATTCACCTGGGAGCTTCAGCAAGACTTCTTTCCCAAGAGCTGAACCCTCCGAGTGAGCAATTCCTGTCCCTTTTAAGGGCTCACAACTCTAAGGGGGTCCGCATGAGAGGGTCACGATCTATTGAGCAAGCAGTGGGTATGTGACTGGGGGCTGCATACACTGGTAATTAGAAAGGTACTGAACAGGACAGGGATCTTCACAGTGCATTTTTTATGCAAATAACCGATTAGGTCAGGGGTTGACCTTTAACTACCAGGCCCAGGGTGTGGCGCTGGGCTGTCTGCTTGTGGATTTCATTTCTGCCTTCTAGTTTTTACTTCTTCTTTCTTTGGAGGCAGAAATTGGGTATAAGACAATATGAGGTTTGGTCTCCTCCCTTATTTTCCCCCTTTGAGACTCTCACTCATTTTATTAGTGGGAGTTCTCACCTTCTTCCTCACTACCTATGTCTTCCTCTATCACAGATTGATAGTGATTCATGTAGTACACTCGTGCTGAAGCGTTCTGGTGAACTAGAGTTGCCATGAAAACTTTTACCACTTGAATGAGTACAGCTAGTAAGCAAGAGATCAGTAAGCAGGTTCCTATTACTACTATAGTTTCCATTATAAGAGTTTTAAATCCTTCTAGTGCCGGGAACCATTTTCAAACATGGCCTCAGTGTCAAATCGGTGCCACACTTGTACTGGCACATGTGCCAGTTTCATCATGTCTTTAACTATATCTTCGACTACTTGCCCCTGATCATCTATGTGCAGACAGCAAGTGGGCCTAATTACAGTCACTAAATTGGGCCTAATTACAGTCATAATCAATTTACTAAAATAACCAGACAGCAAGACAGGTTTCCAAACATTGGCAAATGTTTCAGGGAGAAAAAAATGCCCCACTAGAGAAGCATGGTTGTATCTCTGTGTGTACATACACACGGGGCCAGGCAGTTCTATGCATGATAGTCTGGGACTGTAAAAGTGACTATGCAAACCTTTACATTCTGTCACAGAACTTACAATTTAAAGTGAGCATCTTTTTCTGTGACTTAGAAATTGACTTTTTTTTTTTAGTTGGGAGCCACTTTTAGCAATTTTCCCTTTGTTGATACATAATAATAGTATATATTTGTGGTGCATGAGTGATATTTTGATACATGCATGCAATGTACAGTGATCAAATCAGGGTAATTAGAATATCCATCACCTCAAACATGGATATTATTTTCTTTGTGTTTGAAAAATTTCCTTTGTGTTGGGAGAATTTAAAGCCATCTCTTCTATCTATTTTAAAATATATTAAAAATTAGTGCTAACTGTAGTTATCCTACTGTGCTGTCAGACACTAGAAATTATTCCTCCTATGATAAAAAGTTTAGGCTGTATCCCATGGGTAGTAGGACACCACATGACTGAGTGGTCATCTGGGAAATTATCTGGATGACTTTGGAACATTCCTGGTTGAGCCAGGTGGCTGTTGCAACAAACTGTGGGGAAGCCCCTCCCCTAATGCCCCCTAAGCCAGCTGTCACTACATGGCAGGAAACCTCCAAACCTGAGGGCCCCAGGAAACAATGACAGTCCCCACTCACATGCAACTTGTGCTGTGCTCAGTGCCCTCCACATTGAGCCTGATCTAGCTTTACCCGAGGGCTGTGAGGTGGGACAATCAGTATCCCTTTATTTTAAAAGGCTCAGTGAAGTTTTGGGCTTAATGTGAGTGAAGTGATCCTAAAAGCTGACTCTGGGATCCCGGCTCCACCACTGACCAGTCCTGCAGGTGTCGAGAGTTGCCTCTCCTCCCCTCGATTTCATTTTGTCCTCTGTGAAGTGCAGCCGTGCTGATGACTCACATATCAGGGATACATGGGAACTGTCAATGAACAGAGTGCTCTACACAGTGCCTGGAGCTCAGAATGCAGATGAGGGAGGAGGGTGAGCCATAATTCTGAGGGAAGTCCCAACATAATTTAGCCCTTCCATCTAGTAGCCGGGCCCCAGTACAGAGTCCTATGTCAGTGACAGGGCAAACTGAGACCAGCTCAAACACAGCCTCTTCCTCAGCAGCAGGGCCCAACTAAGGCACTTGGTGTTTTGGTTCATTTCCTGCAGCTTCAATGTAAAGAATATTGTGAGACATTTGCTGGAACAACTGAAAATCAGAAGAAGAAGAGACAGCTCTTCTCCATCTCCCTGAGAGCTCTTCCCCAGAATGTGTTTATCCAGAGAGGAGGGGAAATATTTATTTTTCGTAAATAGTAAATGCTAGAGTCGAATATTATATGAAAATCTCATTCTACTACAAAATCGGAGTTGTGGTTGTGGTTCTTTTTATTTCACTTGTGTAAGCTTAAATGAGATACAGACTCTAACATTTCTCCTTGAATTATGAAATCCTAAAGAGTCGGCAGCATAATGTATGAGGAAGAAGAGAAAAGCAGTCATAGTTTCTGGCTGCCGGATAAGACACCCAGGTCCATTTTTCTCAGAGCATATGTTCATTTTAATATTAACCCAAGGAAAGAGTGAAGATAGATCATTCGAACTTGCAGAATTAATAATTTGAAGGTATTTTCACAAAGCATAGCGACAGTCTTGGAAATATAGATTTCTTTAAAAAGCAGTTGCAGAGATCAGGAGGATGAATACCTTTCTATGATTTTACAAAAAATAAATCAACTTCTGCTTCACTTGCTGAGGTTTCCTCTAAGCAACTATTAGGACATTGTTGTTTTTTCTTCCAACTCTGGAGTTGCATCAGGTCTATGTGGAAAAAAACATTATAAAATAAAATGACCAAAGTCAAAAGGAGAAGGCCAGGGAAAGTCTATTGACAATGGATGCAGGGCAGAAAGGAAGCTGCATTCTCAATCTTCTTCTGGTGTCCTGTGATTGAGCCTTTACCTTAGATGTAAATCCTCCCAGAGTTTTGTCTCTTACCTTAGAATTTCTATTCTTTTTTTAAGTTAGTTTCTTATCTAGAATGAAAGAATTGTAATGCCACTTTATGGCTACACCTGGGCCTTATTCTGTAAATATTTTTACTACCTATGAGGTAAAATTCCCAGCATTAGGGCAATTCTTTATCCAATTTTTTCTTTCTGAGACAGAGTCTTGCTGTGTCACCCAGGCTGGAGTACATTGGTACAATCTTGGCTCACTGCGATCTCCACCTCCTGGGTTCAAGAGATTCTGCTGCCTCAGGCTTCTGTGTAGCTGAGATTACAGGCACCCAGCTTCATGTCCAGCTAATTTTTGTACGTTTAGTATGTTTAGTAAATTTTGTATTTTTAGTTTCACTATGTTTGTCAGGCTGGTCTTGAACTCCTGACCTCCAATAATCTGCCCGCCTTGGCCTTCCAAAGTGCTGGAATTACAGGTGTGAACCAATTCTTTTTGAGGAATAAATTACCTAAAGGTCCTCAAGCCTTTCTGTCAGGCATATCTTGGCCTTTTCTCTCTGACTGGGGTCCGATGAATCACAGGTGGGCACTATTTTTCTATATTCCCAACCAGTGATAATCCTTGCTCTCTTTATTTCTAATTAAAAGAAATCCAAAATGGAGATAGTTATTTGAGAGGTCTCTAAAGACAACTAGGAGGACATGAGGAGTTGAATTAATACTCATACACACCCAGGTGGAATTTTACCTGTTCGAACTGGGAAAATTACAGATGTCCTAAAAAGGCAACTGCATTTGACTTGGATTGTTTATACTGAGCCCGATCACAAACCTCCTGAAGAGAAAGCTGTGCTGAATTAAGCTGATGATTGCCTAGATACAGTCTAAGCTGGCAATCAAACATTGTCCATCATAGACTGTGCTAAAATCTTTCACTTGTGTAAACTTGCAGTAAAACTTTATAAGTCCCTCCCTAACCTCATCTGAATGGAACATGATATAGCTTCTTGCTAAATTTGTGTCTCCCAAATAGCAATTTATAAAAAATCATGATTAAAATGCCTTTTATTTTATTTTCCACAGGGTCTGTTTTACTCCCATGTTATAAAATGCTTTTCTCAAGAAAGCATAGAGCCCATTCTCTTCTCTAGAGAGAATCGCAGCCTTGCAAAAGAGACAACTAAAAATACATACATATAAGTAGCAAGAATTTAAAACTCAAAATATTAAATATGTTACAAAAGTATACAAGCAATAGAATAAATAGGATGAATAGCAAAATGGATAAAATCAACTGTGAGTTGAAAGCCTGAAAGTTCAGGTGAAGGTGTTGAAAATGCTTCAGAAAAAACTAAGGAGATAAATATTTATAAAAATAAAGAGCTGGGCTCAGTGGCTCACACTTGAAATTTCAGCTGCTAGGGATGCTGAGGCCAGAGGATCAATTAAGGCCAGAAGTTTGAGACAAGCCTAAGCAAGACCTTGTCACTGAAAATGTTTTAAAAATTATTTTGACATTATAGCATGTAACTGTGGTCTCAACTACTTAGAAGGCTGAGGCAGGAGGATTACTTGAACTCAGGAAGTTGAGGTTACAGTGAACTATAATCATGCTACCGTACTCCAGCCTGGAGTGAGGCAAAATCTAGTCACATTAAAATAAAATAAAACAAAATAAAATAAAATAAAATAAAATAAAATAAAATAAAATATAATCTAGTCACGTTAAAATAAAGTACAATTATCAAGGACAAAAATAAAATTGTACAACTTGGCAATAGAAAAAAAATAGAGCATAGAGCAACTGGGGGAAAGGGGGTTGAAAGTATAATTTCCTTTTTATTTCCTTAGTTGGTCATTACTTAGACTTTTTCACTTAATTAAAATTTTCTTATACTTTGGTGCCCAGTTAACCCCAGACCATTTTTAATTAATTGGTTTAGAGGTAGATACTCATATAAGCTTTCCACTGCAAATTACAAGAGCCAAATTTTAAATAAATGTTGGACCTCTAAATTTTCTATTTGCAATATTTAAGGAAATAAAAATTATAAAAAACACTTTGTAAAACATTTAGTATGTAACTGCTGTTTCTAACGTATAATAAATCCAATTATGGCAGAGACTCACTCTGTTGTTGAGAATCTCTCCATTATATGACTGCTGCTTGTGGTGCTTAAACCTCAGGAAGAAAGAATATATGAATGTCTGAACATTGCTTTAAAAAGACAATGTACATTTAATGTAGAGATATGTGACCAGCTTAGAAAGCTGCACTTTTTCCACAGCAGGCAAACCAGAGCCTGGATACCCCAGGGTCACAGCTCATGAGAACATAGGGCTGGACTGTGAGAAAACAAGAAGCAATTAGTGCAGAGGAGTTGACAAGACACCAACTGGGCTGAGAAAAAAGAGCTGATAGATTAATTTCCAAATTATACTACAAAACATACAATAAGCAGACCCCATAGCTTTATACATTAAAACCAAATGATGACAAAGAGTGAGGATTGCATTAAATTAAATTAGGAGCAACTAAAGACTGGTTTATGATCTTGAAACTTTAGTCACTCTCCATAGTTCCATCCCATGACCCGGTAATTATTTCCTGCTTTCTGCATGCCTTGGACACTGGTCCATTTCTGGCCCCAAAGTGTTCCTTTTTCTAATAAGAGTACTTATTTCATCTCTTAATACAATTCCTTTCCTTGCATACTGTGCCCCAAAGAAGAAATATTAAAAACTTTCCTGATGTTTTTCTGCTGCGGGGTTAATGGGCTCAGAGTGATGATAAGAACGGCCAATGAGTTTGTGGAGCCAGATAGTGCTTAAAATATGGACTTCAGTCCAGTGAAGTCTAACAAGATTGGCACCTGAGCACTCTTCTCTGAGACCTGAGGATGGACTCACTGAACCTGGAGCTACTAACGCAGCTGATACCCACATATATACACCACCTGTGTTCCTAGAAACTGGCCTTCCCAGCCCATCACAGCAAACACCAACACCAGCATGGAACGCTTGGGAGTCAAAGGTTTTTCTTGTCGTTGCTACTGCCATCATCCATGCCATAACCACTGTCCAGGGGCTCAAGAAGCTGCCCACCCACCTTGCTCACTGCTGACACCTGAGCAAATCACATGAAGGCCAAATAATTAGTCTTCCTGGACCTGTTAACACTGCTGCCAGCATAACTGCCTTGAGGCCCAAAAGCAGGCATGGTAAGCTCACCACTGCCATCACTGGGATCCAATGACTAAACCTCTGGTGCCCCTATTCCCAGCAAAACTTTACCACAGCCTCTGCTAAAAACGATACCCTAAGCCACTGAGAAAGGTACAGACACCACTGATACTCTTTACAGCCAAAGAAATCATATAAAGACAGGCCGGGTATTGTGGCTCATGCCTGTAATTCCAGCACTTTGGGAGGCCAAGGCCAGTGGCTCGCTTGAGGCTAAGAGTATGATACCAACCTGGGGAACATGGCAAAACCCTGACTCTACTAAAAACACACAAATTTGCTGGGCATAGTGGTAGGCACCTGTAATCCCAGCTACTTGGGAGACTGAGGCACGAGAATCGCCTGAACTCAGAGGTGGAGCCTACAGTGAGCCGAGATAGTGCCACTACACTCCATCCTGGGCAACAGAGCAAGGTTCTATCTTAAAATATATACACATACAGAGTTTAAAGTCTGTGCTCTCCTCTCCTCAGCTGCCTTGTGACTGTGTAAGTGTATGTTTGGGAAGGGAGGGATAGGATGAGGACAGGCCAGCAGAGAGTCACCAGCACTGGCTAAAGGTCTCAGACCAAATTTTATACTCTTGACCAGGAGAAACTTCTCTGTTATTCTAATCACATTAAACTCAAGCATTTTCTTTTTTTCTTTCTTTTTTTTGAGAAATCACATCGAACTTCCAAAATTATAAAGTTGAAAATATGTAATAATTGACAATTGGAAACAAGAAAGAGGATTAGCTATAAAAATAACTCAGGACAATGTATTTATCATGAAAAGATGGTCTTGGTGGAAGAAAGTTTCATGCCCAGCCAGCCCATTCTTCAATATCTGCTAAAAAAAAAAAGAGCAAAGGGAACTTAAAGACATCATAGACTTGGAAATTTCGTCTCACAGTGCATTAATTTCCCAAATCACATGTGGAAGAGAAGAAGCTGCTGCATATTAGACTAACTAGTTTTACTGAATGTTGTCTGTTGATTTAAAAATTAATACTCTTATCAAGAGCAAATTGAAATACTGAAAGTTATTTACTAAACAGCAAAGAATATTTTCAGTATATAAAAAGATTTAAAAAAACGTTGACACCTTAACTAAATCTGACACAAATTTAAAAGGAAAAGTAACTAGAAAATGAAAGAAGCGTCGTACAAGTATGCGATGCACCCTCTGTTGCACCAACTGCTCCTGTTTGTTGAGTCCCCTCTTCTATTCTGCCTCCTCCATCTCCTTGCTGATTCCCCTTTTTGTCTATTTTAATTTCTCTCTCTATTCCTTTCTCAGGTCACCATGTCACATTCCTTTTGTGTCTTTTGATGTCCAATCTCACCGACACCACCTTCATTCTCTATTTTATCTTTACAAATGGTTAATTAGGCATAAAGAGGGAAAACACTCCTGGGAAGATACCTGAATCCTGGTGCACACTATCATTATCACTGTTTTTCATGTTGATGCTCATGTGTCTCTGCTTTCTCGACAGACTATTTAATCAGCAGACAGATCAACAGGCCAAAATTTCCACCATAGTTGCAAATTTGAATGCGGATGAATGGATTAAAACACATTCAAGTCTTGCAATGAACGGCATAATGTATGGTGGTATAATTCAGAGTGGTTACAGGGGAGAGTTAAAGATCATTTTATACAATATCACTCGAGAATCTTTTGCTGTAAAACTGCAGATGTGGGTTCCTCAATTTTTAGTGGTACCTTGTCAACAATTAACCCCTGAGGATGTCTCTGCCCCAACAGAGGCTACATACAGAACTGGGAGATTCAGACGCACTGGTACACGTAGCTTAAATCCTGGAGCCAAAATATGAGTACAGCGTCCATCACATCCTACTCCTATGGCTGGTGAACTTGTAGCTATGGGAGAAGAAACTGAAGGCATAGTACAGTTTCCTAAAGATGAAAAACAATATTATGTTCCCCTCTGTTTTGGTTATTACAGAGAATAACCTGTTTACTAATGGTCAGTACCTGTGTCTCTGTGTCTGATGCCAAGAATAAATTCATCATCTGCATAGCCACCACTGCAACAGAAGCCAACTGCAGTCAATGTTGGCTATGCGTGGAATTGCCAGAGGCCACCAAAAATGGGCTACGTTGGAGAATCGTCCCTGTACCTTACTGCATACCGAATGTTGAGTGTATATCCCTGACAATTCTCACACTACGACTCTCCTTGCACAGCCATGGTGGGTGTGGTTTTCATTAACTGTGCTTTTAATTCTCCTGTGCTTACCCTGAGTCTGTAATCTGTATCAACTATGCTTTCCCCAAGTATCTGTAAGGGTATTTTCCTACAATTGAGTATCAAATTGAAGCCAAATTTGGAAGAAAAGTTAAATATTCAATTTTATCTCAATTGAACATGGTCACAAACAATGGTCACCAAGTCCCGGAACAGGTTCTGTGAGTTTCTTCAGGCGTTCATCCACCAGTGTCTCAGAGAAATTTCTATTTTAATCTGTTCCTGTATGTTAGTTATTGAAAAACAACAGACAATCGCCAAAAATTTGACATTTTTGTGGTTTTTGAGCCCAGTAGTGAAGAGTCCTCGTTACCCGGCCTTATGCCAAAGAACTCCTTACAAAAAGAGCTAGGGTCCCAGATGGCACTAGAGCTTCCTGAGACCTCTCCCCATCTCTGCAGGGATGAGGGGCCAACTCTGTAGCCCAGGCTGTTGCTTCCCGGTCTGTTGATGAATCCTCCATAGTCTGGTGAGTGTAGTGTCTGACTCTGGAGCCCAGGCTATTGCTTCTCTGTCTGGTGATGCTTCCTCCATACTCTGTAGTCTGCTGTGTGTAAACATATGTGTATATATATATATACATATATATGTATATAATTTATACATATAACTGTAAATAAAAATAATTATATAATTATGTACATAATTATTTAAATAAATAAATGTAAATAAATACATATATAATTTTATATATATAATATATATATTTATATATATAAAAAATATATATATTTTTTCCCTTCTCATATCAATTTGCTTATCATATCATTTACTTATTATATCTGTATTGCCATATAATTGAGACAAAAGATGTTTACCCTTAAAAGTATTGTGTGTGCCTTTTCTTCTTCCTCATGCATCTCCCATGCAGAACACATGCCTGACAAATTTTTATATTTTTAGTGGAGACTGGGGTTTAGCCATGTTGGCCAGGCTGATCTCAAACTCCTGACCTCAGGTGATCCTTCCATCTCGGCATCCCAAAGTGCTGAGATTATAGGCATGAAACACCCAGCCAGGAGGAGGCATTTCTACAAAGAAAACATACAAATGGCAAACAGACATATAAATGTTGCTAAACATCATTAAACCTCAGAGAAATGAAAATCAGAACTACAATAAGATATTATCTCACTCCAGTTAAAATGTCTTATATCCCAAAGACAGACAATAACAAGTGCTGACGAGGATGTGGAGAAAACTTTAGTGCACTCTTGGTGGGAATGTAAATTAGTATAACCACTATAAAAAAGTGTGGAGGTTCCTCAAAAAGCTAAAAATTGAGCTGCCACAGCTACAATGCAACCCAACAATCCCAGTGATGGGCATTGACACAAAAGAAAGAAAATCGGCTTGTTGCTGCACTGTTTACAATAGCTAAGATTTGAAAGCAAACTGTCTACAAATGAATGAATGTATAAAAAAAGTAGTACATATATACATTGGAGTAGTATTCAGCCATAAAAATGAGATTTTGTCTTTTACGACAACATGGATAAAAGAGAAGAGTATGTTAAGTGAAATAAGCCAGGCACAGAAAGATAAACACTGTGCGTTCTCACTTATTCGTGGGATGGAAGAATTAATACAACTGAATTCACGGACATAGAGAGCAGAAGGATGGTTTTCAGAGGCTAAGAAAGACAGTGGAGGCTGGGGGAAAGGTGGGGACTGTTAATGTGTACAAAAAAATAGAATAAATAAGACATATTATTTGATAGCACAACGAGATGACTCTGGTCAATAATAATGTAATTGTACATTTTAAACTAGCTAAGAAGGAATAATCAGATTTTAACCCAAAGAATAAATGCTTGAGTGGGTGGGTATCCCATTCTCTATGATGTGATTATTATGCATTGCGAGACCGCATCAAAACATCTCATGAACCCCATAAGTATATACACCTACAATGCATCCTCAAAAATTACAAATTAACTGAAGTAAATAAAATAAAACTATTTAAAAATAAAATATCATAACATTAACTAGCCCCAGAAATATAAGATTTTAATGAAATAAAAATGCCTCTATAATAATCAAACAGTGAGAAGAAAGTCACACTTTACTCCTATTTTTGTTTCTGATCTATCTTCTATCTAGTTTCAAGTTGTAGAATTTTCTTTTTTCATTTCTAATTAAATTTTATTTTATTTTATTTTTTTATTATACTTTAACTTTTACGGTACATGCGCACAACATGCAGGTTTGTTACATATGTATACATGTGCCATGTTGGTGTGCTGCACCCAGTAACTCGCCATTTAACATTAGGTATATCTCCAAATGCTATCCGTCCCCCCTCACCCTACCCCACAACAGGCCCCGGAGTGTGATGTTCCCCTTCTTCTGCCCATATGTTCTCTTTGGTCAATTCCCACCTATGAGCGAGAACATGCGGTGTTTGGTGTTTTGTGCTTGGATAGTTTGCTCAGAATGATGGTTCCAGCTTCATCCATGTCCCTATAAAGGACATGAACTCTTCATTTTTTATGGCTGCATTTTGTTCCATGGTGTATATGTGCCACATTTTCTTAATCCAGTCTATCATTGTTGGACATTTGGGTTGGTTCCAAGTCTTCGCTATTGTGAACAGTGCCGCAATAAACATACTTGTGCTTGTGCCTTTATAGCAGCATGATTTATACTCCCTTGGGTGTATACCCAGTAATGGGATGGCTGGGTCAAATAGTATTTCTAGTTCTAGAGCCCTGAGGAATCGCCACAATGACTTCCACAATGGTTGAACTAGTTTACAGTCCCACCAACCGTGTAAAAGTGTTTCTATTTCTCCACATCCTCTCCAGCACCTGTTGTTTCCTGATTTTTTAATGATCGCCATTCTAAGTGGTGTGAGATGGTATCTCATTGTGGTTTTGATTTGCATTTCTCTGATGGCCAGTGATGATGAGCATTTTTCCATGTGTCTTTTTGCTGCATAAATGTCTTCTTTTGAGAAGGGTCTTCATATCCTTCACCCACTTTTTGATGGGGTTGTTTTTTTCTTGTAAATTTGTTTGAGTTCATTGTAGATTCTGGATATTAGCCCTTCGTCAGATGAGTAGATGGCACAAACTTTCTCCCATTCTGTAGGTTGCCTGTTCAGTCTGATGGTAGTTTCTTTTGCTGTGCAGAAGCTCCTTAGTTTAATTAGAACCCATTTGTCAATTTTGGCTTTTGTTGCCATTGCTTTTGGTGTTCTAGACATGAAGTCCTTCCCCATGCCTATGTCCTGAATGGTATTGCCTAGGTTTTCTTCTAGGGTTTTTACGGTTTTAGGTCTAACATTTAAGTCTTGAATCCATCTTGAATTAATTTTTGTATAAGGTGCAAGGAAGGGATCCAGTTTCAGCTTTCTACATACGGCTAGCCAGTTTTCCCAGCACCATTTATTAACTAGGGAATCATTTCCCCATTTCTTGTGTTTGTCAGGTTTGTCAAAGATCAGATGGTTGTAGATATGTGGCATTATTTCTCAGGGCTCTGTTCTGTTCCATTGGTCTATATCTCTGTTTTGGTACAAGTACAATGCTGTTTTGGTCACTGTAGCCTTGTAGTATAGTTTGATGTCAGGTAGCGTGATGGCTCCAGCTTTGTTCTTTTGGTTTAGGATTGACTTGGCAATGAGGGCTCTTTTTTAGTTCCTTATGAACTTTAAAGTAGTTTTTTTCTAATTCTGTGAAGAAAGTCTTTGGTAGCTTGATGGGGATGGCATTGAATCTATAAATTACCTTGGGCAGTATGGCCATTTTCACGATATTGATTATTCCTACCCATGAGCATGGAATGTTCTTCCATTTGTTTGTATCCTCTTTTATTTCATTGAGCAGTGGTTTGTAGTTCTCCTTGAAGAGGTCCTTCACGTCCTTGTAAGTTGGGTTCCTAGGTATTTTATTCTCTTTGAAGCAATTGTGAATGGGAGTTCACTCACGATTTGGCTCTCTGTTTGTCTGTTATTGGTGTATAAGAATGCTAATGATTTTTGCACACTGATTTTGTATCCTGAGACTTTGCTGAAGTTGCCTATCAGCTTAAGGAGATTTTGGGCTGAGATGATGGGGTTTTCTAGATATACAATCATGTCATCTGCAAACAGGGACAATTTGACTTCCTCTTTTCCTAATTGAATACCCTTTATTTCCTTCTCCTTCCTGATTGCCCTGGCCAGAATTTCCAACATTGTGTTGAATAGGAGTGGTGAGAGAGGGCATCCCTCTCTTGTGCCTGTTTTCAAAGGGAATGCTTCCAGCTTTTGCCCATTTAGTATGATATTGGCTATGGCTTTGTCAGAGATAGCTCCTATTACTTTGAGATACGTCTCATCAATTCCTAATTTATTGAGAGTTTTTTGCAGGAAGAGTTGTTGAATTTTGTCAAAGGCCTTTTCTGCATCTCTTGATATCTCAAGATAATCACATGGTTTTTTTGTCATTGGTTCTGTTTATAAGGTGGATTACGTTTGTTGATTTGTGTATGTTGAACCAGCCTTGCATCCCAGAGATGAAGCCCACTTGATCATGGTGGATAAGCTTTTTGATATGCTGCTGGATTCGGTTTGCCAGTATTTTATTGAGGATTTTTGCATAGATCTTCATCGGAGATATTGGTCTAAAATTCTCTTTTTTTGTTGTGTCTCTGCCAGGCTTTGGTATCAGGATGATGCTGTCCTCATAAAATGAGTTAGGGAGGTTCCCTCTTTTTCTATTGATTGGAATAGTTTCAGAAGGAATGGTACCAGCTCCTCCTTGTACCTCTGGTAGATTTTGGCTGTGAATCCATCTGGTCCTGGACTTTTTCTGGTTGGAAAGCTAATTATTAATTATTGCCTCAATTTCAGAGCCTGTTATTGGTCTATTCAGAGATTCAAATTCTTCCTGGTTTAGTCTTGGGTGGGTGTATGTGTCGAGGAATTTATCCATTTCTTCTAGATTTTCTAGTTTATTTGCATAGAGGTGTTTATAGTATTCTCTGATGGTAGTTTGTATTTCTGTGGGATCGGTGGTGATATCCCCTTGGGTTTAATAAACAGATAACATCAAACATTCAACTAATCCAATAAAAAGAAATTTTATTCATTTGAGAATGTGTTTTCCAGAGCATACTTATATATTACGTTTTAACTTCATAATTTATATTTTATAAAAACATAACTAATTCAAGTTAATCTTCTCTAATTTTTAATTCAATTGAATTTTTATCAGGATCACTATATTTAAACAAAAATTACCTGAATTTTTCACATCATAATTTATAGATTCTGCTTCTACAAATTGTCTGTAGGGACCATTATTTCTACACGGTCTACTTTCCTGGGTTAAGTGGTGGATACCCAAATGTTTTTTGGAATAATGTTTTCTTATATCAGTTTTTAGTCAGTGATACGTTGCACCATGTTTAATTTTAAGCATTATCAGTTTTCTTTTTTTTTTTTAATTGATCATTCTTGGGTGTTTCTCGCAGAGGGGGATTTGGCAGGGTCACAGGACAATAGTGGAGGGAAGGTCAGCAGATAAACAAGTGAACAAAGGTCTCTGGTTTTCCTAGGCAGAGGACCCTGTGGCCTTCCGCAGTGTTTGTGTCCCTGGGTACTTGAGATTAGGGAGTGGTGATGACTCTTAAGGAGCATGCTGCCTTCAAGCATCTGTTTAACAAAGCACATCTTGCACCGCCCTTAATCCATTCAACCCTGAGTGGATACAGCCCATGTTTCAGAGAGCACAGGGTTGGGGGTAAGGTCACAGATCAACAGGATCCCAAGGCAGAAGAATTTTTCTTAGTACAGAACAAAATGAAAAGTCTCCCATGTCTACCTCTTTCTACACAGACACGGCAACCATCCGATTTCTCAATCTTTTCCCCACCTTTCCCCCCTTTCTATTCCACAAAACCGCCATTGTCATCATGGCCCATTCTCAATGAGCTGTTGGGTACACCTCCCAGACGGGGTGGTGGCAGGGCAGAGGGGCTCCTCACTTCCCAGTAGGGGCGGCTGGGCAGAGGCGCCCTTCACCTCCCGGACGGGGCGGCTGGCCAGGCGGGGGGCTGACCCCCCCCACCTCCCTCCTGGACAGGGCGGCTGGCCGGGCGAGGGGCTGACCCCCTCACCTCCCTCCCGGACGGGGCGGCTGTCCGGGCGGGGGGCTGACCCCCCACCTCCCTCCCGGACGGGGCGGCTGACCGGGCGGGGGGCTGACCCCCCCACTTCCCTCCCGGATGGGGTGGCTGGCCGGGCAGAGGGGCTCCTCAGTTCCCAGTAGGGGCGGCCGGGCAGAGGCGCCCCTCACCTCCCGGACGGGGCGGCTGGCCGGGCGGGGGGCTGACCCGCCCACCTCCCTCCCCCCCAGAAGGGGTGGCTGGTCGGGCGGGGGGCTGATCCCCCACCTCCCTCCCAGACGGGACGGCTGGCCAGGCAGAGGGGCTCCTCACTTCCCATCAGGGGCTGCCGGGCAGAGGCGCCCCTCACTTCCCGGATGGGGCGGCTGGCCAGGCGGGGGGCTAACCCACCCACCTCCCTCCCGGAGGAGGCGGCTGGCCGGGCGGGCGGCTGACCCCCCACCTCCCTCCCGCATGGGGTGGCTGGCCAGGCGGGGGGCTGACCCCCCCACCTCACTCCCGAACGAGGTGGCTGCCAGGCGGAGATGCTCCTCACTTCCGAGACGGGGTGACTGCCGGGCGGAGGGGCTCCTCACTTCTCAGACGGGGTGTTTGCCAGGCAGAGGGTCTCCTCACTTCTCAGACGGGGCGGCCGGGCAGAGACATTCCTCACATCCCGGACGGGGCGGCAGGGCAGAGGTGCTCCCCACATCTCAGATGATGGGCGGCCGGGCAGAGACGCTCCTCACTTCCCAGATGTGATGGCGGCCGGGAAGAGGCGCTCCTCACTTCCTAGATGGGATGGCGGCCGGGCAGAGACGCTCCTCACTTTCCAGACTGGGCAGCCAGGCAGAGGGGCTCCTCACATCCCAGACGATGGGCGGCCAGGTGGAGACGCTCCTCACTTCCCAGACGGGGTGGCGGCCGGGCAGAGGCTGCAATCTCGGCACTTTGGGAGGCCAAGGCAGGCTGCTGGGAGGTGGAGGTTGTAGCGAGCCGAGATCACGCCACTGCACTCCAGCCTGGGCACCATTGAGCACTGAGTGAACGAGTCTCCGTCTGCAATCCCGGCACCTCGGGAGGCCGAGGCTGGCGGATCACTCGCGGTTAGGAGCTCAGCCCGGCCAACACAGCGAAACCCCGTCTCCACCAAAAAAATACGAAAACCAGTCAGGCGTGGCGGCGCGCGCCTGCAATCGCAGGCACTCTGCAGGCTGAGGCAGGAGAATCAGGCAGGGAGGTTGCAGTGAGCCGAGATGGCAGCAGTACCATCCAGCTTCGGCTCGGCATCAGAGGGAGACCGTGGAAAGAGAGGGAGAGAGAGACCGTGGGGAGACGGAGAGGGTGAGGGAGAGGGAGAGGGAGAGGGAGAGCTATCAGTTTTCTTTCTTGTGCATTATTTTCACAGTAATATAAATTATGGACATCAAAATATCCTCAGGGTTAAAAATGTTGGAGTCCAAGCATTCTATATTCTTGATTTGTATGGTTTCAATTATGACTCAGCATTTTAGGAAAACATTGGCTCTATAATCTGTCACCCTCACCCCATTTAAATAAAAACATACTTTTTTGGACACAAGGATCAGGCATACACATCTACACAGTGGATCACATCATTTTTGGGGGCAAACTGAAAACTGTTTTTATACTCAAACATACTGTTGGGAAACTGTGAAATAAAAATTTCTGATGTTTGTTAAAAATTGGGAAGAAAGACATTAATACTATTGTAGTAGATTTTATGGCCATCGTAATAGGGTTCAGTTCAGAAATTGATCATAACTCTGAACACAGACAACGAAGAATTTATAGTCAATAAGCAGAATAAATCAGTGGATAAGAATTATTGAAAAACATTTGATAAAATACCAAAGGAGGAAGAGGAACTTTTTATAGCAGAAGCCTGGTTACAGGTTGGCTAAGGACTTAAATATCAAAGAAAGGGAATCACGATATTAGTAGACATAAGGGATATGTGGATTTTTACTAAACAGTATTAGCAGGATTTATGAAAGTGAGCCTCTCAAACCAGGAGCAGGGCAAGAAGTCAAGGTTGGCTTAGTCAAAAAGAGGGTTCAGTTAAGCTTGACTAACATTTGGTCATAAAGGTAGTGCTTACAAGAACCCAGATTTTTTTCCCATCTGATCTGAAAATAAATAATCACCAAAAAAGGCTTTGTTTGAAAAATGAGTGCCCACTTCACCTGAGAAAACCTCCATCTTCTTCTGTTTACCTTTGAATTTAGTGTAGAAAAAGAGCACTTGTCATTGCCACAGTTTTAATTTTGCTTTCACTCTTAAAAACAGAGAGTCAGGGCTGGGTGTGGTGGTTCATGCCTGTAATCCCAGCATGTTGGGCATGGTGATGCAAGCACACCTGTAATCCCAGCTACTTGAAAGGCTGAGGCAGGAGAATCACTTGAACCCAAGAGTCAGAGGTTGCAGTGAGCCAAAATCACACCACTGCACTCCAGCCTGGTGACAGAGTGAGACTCCATCAAACAAAACAAAACAAAACAAAACAAAACAAAACACAAAATTAGAAATTTAGTTTTATTCAAACAGCAACTTACAAACACAAAGGTTATAGTTTCTGACCCCTATTCAAGACAATTGGTTGTAACCATAAGTATTGATGGGACTTCAGGGAGATTCCTCAGATGGAGCTGATGCAGCTGTGCAAGCCACTTTGACCTTGCATCTTTCCTACTTCTTAGCCTTTGAAATGGACATGGTTGCTGGTGCAGGCTTGTGCTCCTACAGCCAGCCATATGGGACCATGAGACAGCCTACAGGATAAAAACCATCTACTGAAATATTGTAGCAAAGTGTGCCAAGAGGGCTGACTAGAAGTAGCTATGGTGTGTGGCTTTGATGAAAAGAAACAAAGAGGGAAAATAAATACAGCACCATCAACTGAAACACCCAGATATTTGCAGTGGGACTAATGAAGGAAACAGCTCAACCCATGGGAAAAAGAAGGGCATGGCAAACGCCCACCCGGGAGTAACACAGACCAAAGGGAACCTACCCTGCCCAAGGAAGTGGTGAGCAAATACGTGACCCTGAGAAACCACACTTCTCCCATGGATCTTTGCAACTCTCGGGTCAGGAGATTTTCTCGTAAACTTATTCCACCAGGGCCTTTGGTCTGATACACAGAGCTGCGTGTTCCCGGCAGAACAACTGCTCAGACACAAACAGAATCGCAGGAGCTTTACATACTTTGGCTCTGAGATCTCTGGCAAAGGTGACTGCAACTCAGACAAGGTGGGAGGTTGGATCTCCGTAAATGCCCCTAGAAAGGAAGCTGAATCCATGGGCCTGAGCAGCATCAGTGGGCCCCACTTCCATGACGCCTCACAGGATAAGACCTACTGGCTTGGAATTCCATCCAGCCCCAGCAACAGCATTGCAATTACCTGGGATGGAACAACGTTCCTGGAGGCAGGGGCTGGCTGCTATATTTGCTGTTTGGATGACTCAGCCATTCCAGCCTGGAGGTTTAGGAGAGTTAAAAAAAAAAAAACTCATGGCAGATGGAAGAAATCCCTTAGCACGGCACATTGGCCCTCCCAAAGTTTGGCCGGACTACTTCTTGAAGTGGGACCCAGATACCTTTTTCATCTCAGAGTGGGGCCTCCTACCAGAGCCTCCAGACAGCCCCTTCCATATTCTCCGGCAGGCAGAGTTTTGATTTATTCCTGGATGCAGTGCACATTGGGAGCAGTGGGTCTTCATATTTGTTGTTTGGAGAACTCAGCCATAACAATCAGTGGGCTTAGGAGAGTCCAAACCATCCCAGGGAAGAAGGAATCCCCCAGCATAGCACAGTGGATCTGCCATAATGTGATCAGATTGCTTCTTTAAGTGGGACCTAATATGCTCTGCATCTCTGGGTGGAACTTCCCAACCAGGGCCTCCAGCAACTCCCACTGATGTTGTCTGGCTGGCAGAGGTTTAAAAACTTCCTGGGCCAGAGTTCCTAGAGAGAGGGGTTGGCCACCATCTTTGCTGTTTCAGCCACTTTGCTGTTTCAGCCTCCAGGCTTTGGAGAGCCCAATCTGCTGAAGGGCAGAAATGGTACCCCGCACAGCATGGCTGATCTATGAAAGTGGGGCTAGATGGCTTAAGTGGGTCCCCAATCCTATTCCTCCTAGCTGGGTGAGACCTACCAACTGGGGTTTCCAGTCACCTCCTACAGGTGTGTTCGAGCCCTCAACATGTCTGCACCCGCCCTGGGATGGAGCTCCCAGGGAAGGGAGTGGGCTGCTATCTTTCTTGTTTCACAGCCTTCACTGGTGATACCCCCAGATACTGGAAAATCCGAGGTGACAAGAGAGTGGAGCAGATGCCCAACAAACTACAGCAGCCCCACACAAAATGGCCAAACAGTTAAAAGGAAGAGAAACAAACAAAAATCTCATTCAAAGGCCAGCAACCTCAAAGATTAAAGATAGATAGGCACACAAAGGTGAGAATCACAACAAGAATACTAAAAACTCAAAAATCAGGGTGCTCTCCCTCTCCCAAACGACCACACTACTTCTCCAGCAAGAGTTCAGAATAAGGGTGAGGCTGTGATCCCTGAAATAACAGAAGTAGACCCCAGAATGTGGATAAAAATGAACTTCACTGATCTAAAGGAGCATGCTCTAACTCAATACAAGAAAGCTAAAAATTACAATATAATATTGCAGGAGCTGACAAACAAATTAGCCAGGATAGAGAGGAGCCTAACCAACCCGATAGCACTGTAAAACACAATACAAAAATTTCATAATGCAATCACAAGTATTAATGAGGAAAGAAACTCAGAGCTTGAAGTTTGTATTTCTGAAAGAAGACATGCAGAGAAGAATAGAAAAAAAGAATGAAAGGAATAAACAAAACCTTTGAGAAATATGGGATTATGTAAAGAGACCAAATCTACAACTGATTGGTGTACTTGAAAGAGCTGGGGAGAATGGAACCAATCAGGAAAACATATTTCAGGATATCATCAATGAGAACTTCCCCAACCTTGCTACACTGGCCAACAATTCAGAAAATGGAGAGAAGTTCAGTAAGATACTCCAAGAAAAAATCATACCCAAGACACATAAACGTCAGATTCCCCAAACTTGAAATGGAAGAAAAAAAAAGAAAAAAAAGCTCAGCCGCAGAGAAAAGCCAAGTCACCTACAAAAAGAAGTTGATCAGACTAAGAGCAGAGCTGTCAGTGAGAACCCTACAAGCCAAAAGAGATTGGGGGCCAATATTTAACGTTCTTAAAGAAAATAAACTTTAAGCCAGAATTTTATATCTGGCCAAACTAAGCTTAATCTGGGGAGAAATAACATCCCTTTCAGACAAGCAAATTCCGAGTTAATTCATGAACACCAGACATGCTTTTCAAGAGCTCCTGAAGGAAGCACCAATTTGGAAAGGGAAAATTATTCCCAGCCACCACAAAAACACACTCAAGTACACAGACCATTGACACTATAAATCAACCACATAAACAAGTCTGAAAAATAAAAATAACCAGCTAGCATCAAGATAACAAGATAAAATCTACGCATAACAATACTTACCTTAAATGTAAATGGGATAAATGCCCCAGTTGAAACACACAGGGTGGCAATTGTATAAAAACCAAGACCCATTGGTATGCTCTTCAAGACACCCATCTCACATGCGGGGACACACATAGGCTAAAAATAAAGGGATGGAGGAAATTTCACCAAGCAAGTGGAAAACCTAAAAAAGCAAGGGTTGCAGTCTTACTTTCCAACAAAACAGACTTTAAAGCAACACAGATTAAAAACAACAACAACAACAACAACAAAGAGGGTCATTACATAACGGCAAATAATTCAATTCAACAAGAATTAACTATTCTAAATATATATGCACCCAACACAAGAGTACCCAGATTCATATAACAAGTTTCTAGATATCTTGAAAGAGACTTAGAACACCACACAATAATAGTGACCGACTTTAACATCCCACTGACAGTATTAGAAAGATTATTGAGACAGAAAATTAACAAAGATGTTCAGGACCTGAACTTAGCTCTGGATCAAATGGACATGATATATATTTACAGAACTCTCCACATGAAAACAGCAGAATATACATTCTTCTCATCACTACATGACACTTTCTCTGAAATTGGTCACTTAGCCAGAAGTAAAACACTCTTCAGCAAATGCAAAAGAACTGAAATCATAATAAACAGTGGCTCAGATCACAGCACAATCAAATTAAAACTCACGATGAAATAATTTACTGAAAACCATAAAATTAAATGGAAATTGAATCACCTGCTCCTGAATAACTTTTGGGTAAATAATGAAATTAAGGCAGATATCAAGGAGTTCTTTGAAACCAATGAGAACAAAGACAAAACATACCAGAATCTCTGGGACACAGCTAAGGCAGTATTAAGATGAAAATTTATGGCATTAAATGCCCACATTAAAATGCCAGAAATGTCTCAAGTTACAACTTCACAACAAAAATAACTACAGGAACAAGAGCAAAGAAGTTCTAGAGCTAGCAGAAGACAAGAAATAACCAAAATCAGACCTGAACTGATGGAGATAGGGACAAGAGAAACCATTCAACAGATCAACAAATTCAGGAGCTGTTTCTTTTTCTTTGAAAAAACCAATAATATAAATACACCAGTAGTAGACTAATAAGGAAGAAAATATCAAAAATTAAAATGAACACAATCAGAAATAATAAGGGTTACCACTGACCCCACAGAAATAAAAATAACCATCAGAAAATATCATAAACACCTCTATGCCTATAAGATAACAAATTCAGTAGAAATGGATAAATTTCTGGACACATACACCCTTCAAGAATAAACCAGGAAGAAATTGAATCCCTGAAAAGACAAACAACAGGCTCTGAAATTCAGGCAGTAATAAATAGCCTACAAACCACAAAAAGATCAGAAACACAAAGATTAAAAGCTGAAGGTTATGACATTTATGAAGAAGAACTGGTACAATTCCCACTAAAATTATTTCAAAAAACTGAAACAGAGGGCTTCCTTCCCGACTCTTTCTATGAGAGCACATCATCCTGGTACCAAAACCTGGCAGACACACAAGAAAAAAAACAAAACTTCAAAAAATTTGCAAGAAGAAAACAACCCCATCAAAAAGTGGGCGAAGGACATGAACAGACGCTTCTCAAAAGAAGACATTTATGCACCCAAAAAACACATGAAAAAATGCTCACCATCACTGGCCATCAGAGAAATGCAAATCAAAACCACAATGAGATACCATCTCACACCAGTTAGAATGGCAATCATTAAAAAGTCAGGAAACAACAGGTGCTGGAGGAGATGTGGAGAAATAGGAACACTTTTACAGTGTTGGTGGGACTGTAAACTAGTTCAACCATTGTGGAAGTCAGTGTGGCAATTCGTCAGGGATCTAGAACTAGAAATACCATTTGACCCAGCCATCCCATTTCTGGGTATATACACAAAGGACTATAAATCATGCTGCTTTAAAGACACAGGCACACGTTTGTTTATTGCGGCACTATTCACAATAGCAAAGACTTGGAACCAACCCAAATGTCCAACAATGATAGACTGGATTAAGAAAATGTGGCACATATACACCATGGAATACTATGCAGCCATAAAAAATGATGAGTTCATGTCCTTTGTAGGGACACGGATTAAATTGGAAATCATCATTCTCAGTAAACTATCACAAGAACAAAAAAACCAAACACCGCATGTTCTCACTCATAGGTGGGAATTGAACAATGAGATCACATGGACACAGGAAGGGGAACATCACACTCTGGGGACTGTTGTGATGAGGGGGGAGGGGAGAAGGATAGCATTGGGAGATATACCTAATGCTAAATGTCGAGTTAATGGGTGCAGCACACAAGCATGGTGCATGCGTACATATGTAACTAACCTGCACATTGTGCACATGTACCCTAAAACTTAAAGTATAATAATAATAAAATAAAAAAAGAAAAAAAAAAACTTCATGCCAATATTTTTGATGAACATTTATGCAAACATTCTTAACAAAATAGGGGCAAACCAAATCCAGCAGCGCATCAGAAAGCTTATCCACCACAATCAAGTAGGCTCCATCTGTGGGATGCAACTTTAATTCAACGTACACAAATCAATATGTGATTTATCACATAAACAGAACTAAAGACAAAAGCCACATGATTGTCTGAATAGATGCAGATAAATCTTTGCATCCATAAAATTCAACATCCATTCTTGTAAAAACTCTCAATAAACTAGGTATTGAAAAAAACATACTTCAATATAATAAGAACCATGTATGACAAACCCACAGCCAATATCATACTGAAAGGGCAAAAGCTGAAAGCATTCCCTTTTAAAACGGGCACAAGACAAGGATGCCCTCTCTCATGAATCCTATTTCAGATAGTATTGGAAGTACTGGGCAGAGCAATCAGGTAAGAGAAAAAGGCATTCAAATTGAAAGAAAAGAAATTAAACAACACCTGATGTCAGACGACATGATTCTATATCTTGAAAACCCCTATTGTCTCAACCCCAAAGCTTCTTAAGCTGATAAATATCTTTAACAAAGTCCCAAGATACAAAATAAATGGGCAAAAATCACTAGCACTAAATCCTTATATACCAACAACAGTCAAGCCAAGAGCAAAATCGTGAATGAACACTCATTCACAGTTACCACAAAAAGAATAAAATACCAAGGAATGTATCTAACAAGAGAAGTGAAAGGCCACTACAAGGAGAACTATAAACCACTTCTCAAAGAAATCAGACATGACATAAACAAATAGAAAAACATTTCATGCTTATGGATAGAAAGAGTTAATATTGTTAAAGTAGACACACTCCACAAAGAAATTTATAGAGTTAATAGTATTTCCGTTAAACTACCAATGACATTTTTCACAAAACTAGAAAAGCTATTTTAAAATTTATATGGAACCAACAAAGGCCTGAATAGTCAAGACAACCCCAAACAAAAAGAACTAAGCTGGAGGCATCACACTACCCAACTTCAAACTGTGCTACAGGGCTACAGAAACCAAAACAGCATGGTACTGGTACAAGAACAGACACACAGACCAATGAAACAGAATAGAGGACCCAGAAATAAGACTGCACACCTACAACTAACTGATCTTCGACAAACCTGACAAAAACAAGCAATGAAAAAACGACTCTGTACTCAATAAATGGTGCTGGGATAACTGCCTAGCCATGTGCAAAAAATTGAAACTGAACCCCTTCCTCCATCATCCTCTGCAACTAACACAGGAACAGAAAACTAACCACCGCATATTCTCACTCATAAGTGGGAGTTGAACAATAAGAACACATGGACACTGGAAGGGAAACAACACAACTGGGGCTAGTCAGGGAATGGGAGTCAAAGGGAGGGAGAGCATTAGGATAACTAGCTAATACATGTGGGACTTGAAGCCTGGATAACGGGCTGATAGGTGCAGTAAACCACCATGGCACACATATACCAATGTAACAAACCTACACATTCTGCACTTGTACTTCAGAACCCAATTTAAATTTAAAAAATAAAGAAAGATTCCTTACATCATATACAACAATAAACTCAACATGGTTTAAATGTAAAACCCAAGACTATAAAAACTTTGGAAGACAACCTAGGCAATACCATTCAGGACATAGGCATGGGCAAATATTTTATGATGAAGGCGCAAAAGCAATTAGAACAAAGAGAACATTGACAAATGGGATCTAATTAAACTAAAGAGCTTTTGCACAGCAAAAGAAACTATCAACAGAGTAAACAGACAATGTATAGAATGGGAGAAAATTTTTGCAAACTGTGCATCTGACAATAATCTAATTTCTAGCATCCATAAGGAACATAAATTTACACGAGAAAAACAAACAACCTTATTAAAAATTGGCCAAAGGACACACAGAAACACTTCTTGAAAGAAGACATACATGCAGCCAATAAGCGTATGAAACAGAAGTTCAACATCAGTGACCATTAGAGAAATGTAAATCCAAACCACAATGAGATATCATTTTATACCAGGTATAATGGTTACCATGAAAAAATCAAAAAATCACAGATGCTGACAAAGTTGTGGAGAAAAAGCAACATTTTTACCCTGTTGGTCGAGTTCAAACGTTGTGGAAGACAGTGTGGTGATTCTTCAAAGACCTAAAGAAAAGAATACCATTTGACCTAGCAATCTCATTACTGGGTATATACCCAAACAAATATAAGTCATTCTATTATAAAGATACCTGCACGCACAAGTTCATCACAGCCCTATTCACAATAGCAAAGACATCAAATCAGCCTACATGTTCATCAATAATAGACTGGTTGAAGAAAACGTAGTTCATATACAACATGGAGTACTATGCAGCCATAAAAAAGCACAAGATTATGTCCTTTGTAGGGACATGGATGGAGCTGGAGGCCATTATCCTTAAAAAACTAACAGAAACAGAAAACCAAATACCACATTTTCTCACTTATAAGTGGAGGGTAGATGATGAGAACACACAGAAACATGGAGGGGAGCAACACGCACCAGGGCCTATCAGGAGGTAGGGGGTGAGAGGAGGGAGAGAATCAGAAAAAATAACTAATAGTTAGTAGACTTAATACCTGGGTGATAAAACAATCTGCACAACCAAACTTCGGGACGGTATGTTTCCATATTTAAAGAACCTGCACATCCTGCCCATATACCCCTGAACTTAAAACAAAGTTCAAAAAAGAAAAACATTTTAGCAAAATGACAGACTATTTTTGACTACCTTCGTGTACAGTTCAGAGTCAGACTGCCCAGCTCTAACATCCTTATTTATGAGAAAGAAAGCATTCTCTCTCTTATCTGCACTATTATATTGGGTTTTCTTTTTTAATTTTTTTGAGACGGAGTTTCACTCTTATTGCCCAGACTGGAGTGCAATGGCGCGATCTCGGTTCACCACAATCTCTACCTCCCGGGTTCAAGCGATTCTCCTGCCTCAGCCTCTCAAGAAGCAGGGATTACAGGCATGCACCACTACGCCTGGAAAATTTTGTATTTTTGGTAGAGACTGGGTTTCTCTATGTTGGTCAGGCTGGTCTTAAACTCCAGACCTCTGGTGATCCGTCTGCCTCAACCTCCCAATGTGTTGGGATAACAGGCGTGAACTACAGCACCCGGTCTGGGTTTTCTTCTATATGTAGGAAAATGTAATCCTAACTAAAGTGCTAGCTTTGCCATGGAATCTCTGTGTAATTCTGGATGTTATGTCACTTTCCTAAGACTTTTTTCTATCTGCATAGTGGTGGAGGCAGTAGTGGGGAAGATTTAATTATACAAAGGGTCCATCAATCCATGTGTTAAGTGAGGATGTCACTACTTTCCAGACTCAGAGGACAGGGGACATATTGTTATGCTCCATGGAAGCTGTTTGGGGGTGGAGGTGGGGCTCACTTGCACACATTGTCTGTGGGCCTTGAAAGATCAAGTGTGTATGACCCTTCTTGAACAGAAGGTCCATGTGCCCAGTGCAGAACCCATCTATTTCTTCCCAAGTGAGGAAGATCTGGGAACACCCTGATCACAGCCTTGCTACACCAATCCTAGTTGGTAGGGACGTTAGACCATATGCATGTTGAGCTGTGGCTTAAGCATTTTGACATCTCACATCTCATTGGATATCTGAAAAACTGAGGTCTGGAGAGAAGCAGGGACTGGCCCAGAGATGATGAAGTGGGCAGAGTCCAAGGGAAAAAAGAGCATTCTGACCTCCTAGGCCAGGGCTCAACACTCTCATGGGGTTTGTTTTGGGAATGAGTCCCTGAGATCCTGGGGATTTTTGCCAATTTTCTCGTCATATGAAGCAAACTCATGTCTGCATCATAGAATTCCACAGGTTTGTGCATACACACACAGACTTCTCAGGCTAAAGGTCATAAGAGGAGTTAACGCTGATGGAGTGATGAGAAGAAAAAAGATAGAGGATAGGGGCAGCTTTGTCATGGGGTAGAAGCACCCCATCTTCTGGTAACATGCCCAGGACCCATAACATGGGCAGGGGAAGGCAATAGGCTGATGGCTTGAGAGGCTCAAGGCTTCCATGGATCTGACTGGGCTGCAGCCAACACCAGGATAGCTTTCCAAGGACAAAACCTTACTTTCTCCATTCATTAATCTGCATAATTAAAATGGTAAGGAATCCCCCTACACCCAATATGGAGAGGAATACAGTAGTGAAAACCTTCAATTTTTCCCTGTACAAATTGACATAATTGAACTGTGTGACCCCTAAATTTGAAAGGCTTAAAGAAGTGAGTTGACCTTGCTGTCTATCAATTACCACTGTACTCTCAGAACTTTGGAAATTGCTCTGTGTCCTCCGAAGGTCTTTCAGAGCAGAAAGTGGCCTAGGGGTGTGCGGGACTGAGCACTCAGGCTGGTGTAGAATGTGACAGATCCTCAGACCACTGCTCTGGGATCCAAGGAGAAGACCTTCTCGGTCAGAGCTTTGGGATCTTTTTTTTGGAGGGGGCGATCTTTTTTGAAAGTGGAGACAGAATCGTTTTCCAGGGCTCCCTCATTTGCCCTCCTGTTTCATAGTATTTCTTTTTTCTGTCTTTCTTTCTTTCTTTCTTTCTTTCTTTCTTTCTTTCTTTCTTTCTTTCTTCTTTCTTTCTTTCTTCTTTCTTTTTCTTTCTTTCTTCTTTCTTTCTTTCCTTCTTTTTCTTTCTCTTTCTTTCTTTCTCCTTCGTTTCTTTTCTTTCTTCCTTTCTTTCTTCTTTCTCTTTCTTTTGTTCTTCCTTCATTCCTTCCTTCCGTTTCTTTCTTTCTTCTTTCTTTCTTTCCTCTTCCTTCATTCCTTCCTTCCTTTTCTTTCTTTCTTTCTTTCTTTCTCTTTCTTTCTCCTTCCTTCCTCCCTCCCTTTCTTTTCTTTCTTTCCTTATTTTCTTTTTTCTTTCTTCTTTCTTTCTTTCTTCTTTCTTTCTTTCTTTCTTTCTTTCTTTCTTTCTTTCTTTATCAGAGTCTCTCTCTTCTCGCTCTTTCACGGGACTGGAGTGGAGTGGCATGATCTCGGCTCACTGCAACCTCCACCTCCCGGGTTCAAGTGATTCACTGCAACCTCCACCTCCCAGGTTCAAGTGATTCTCCTGCCTCAGCCTCCTGAGTAGCTGGGAATATAAGGGCGTGCCACCAAGCCTGGCTAATTTTTGTATTATTAGTAGAGACGGGGTTTCGCCATGTTGTCCAGGATGGTCTCGATCTCTTCACCTCGTGATCTGCTTGTATCAGCCTCTGAAAAAAACTGAGATTATAGGTGTGAGCCACCACACAAAGCCTACAGTTTATTTTTCTTTGCTTGTTAAAATGTTTTAGTCAGCTAAAATTTACACAATATAGAGTTCTACATACTATCTAATATAAAGTGTAAAATTCAGTGCTTTTCAGTTTATTTACAATGCTATGCAACTGTCACCCTTATCAAATTCCAAAATAGTTTCATCACCCTCTCACCAAAAAAACTCCATATCCATTAAGCAGTAATTTATCATTCATCCACCGAATTTCCTTGGTAACCACTGATTGACTTTCTATCTCTAGTACTCTCTTTCTTTCTTTCCTTTTTTTTTTTTTTTTTGGTGTCTCACTCTGTCACCCATGCTAGAGTGCAGTGGCACGATCTCGGCTCGCTGCAAGCTCCACCTCCCTGGTTCACGCCATTCTCCTGCCTCAGCCTCCAGGGTAGCTGGGACTACAGATGCCTGTCAGCACGCCCAGCTATTTTTCTTTGTATTTTTAGTAGAGACAGGGTTTCACCATGTTAGCCAGCATGGTCTCGATCTCCTGACGTCGTGATCTGCCTGCTTCGGCCACCCAAAGTGCTGGGATTACAGGCGTGAGCCATCACACCCGGCTTCTATTTCTAGTTTTCTATTCTAGTCACTTTATAGAAATATAATAATATAATATGTGACCTTTTTTCTTTGGCTTTTCTCTTTGAGCGTGTTTTCATTATTTATCCATGTTGTGGCACATATCAGTTCTGTATTTATTTTTATGGCTAGCTAATACTCCATTGTATAAATAATATTCTATTGGCCAGGGACGATGGCTCACACCTATAAACTCAGTATTTTGGGAGGCTGAGGCTGGTGGATCACCTGAGGTCAGGAGTTCTAGACCAGCCTGGCTGACATGGTGAAACACTGTGTCTACTAAAAATACAAAAATTAGCCGGGCGTGGTTCCTGAAAGCCCAATTGCTCAGGAGGCTGAGGCCAGGGAATCTCTTGAACCCAGGAGGTGGAGGTTACAGTGAGCTGAGATCGTGCCACTGCACTCCAGCATGGGTGACAGAGCAAGACTGTCTCAAAAAAAAAGAAAGAAAATGAGAGGAAATATGTGCAAACTACACAGCTGACAAGCGATTGATAAGCAGAATACAGAATAAACAAAAAACTAAATAAAAAATTAGTTTAACTTTAAAATGGGCAATAATCTTCAGAAACATTTCTGGAAAATATAAGGGGCATAAACATAGAACCTAAAAGTTAGAGAAGAATTATGAAAAAACTGAAGGATATAGAAAAAATAATTTCAGACTATTCACATTAAAATTTAATTAGAGAGGGGGTGGAGCCAAGATGGGCGAATAGGAAAAGCCTTAGTCTAGAACTCCCAGCATCGGCAATGCAGAACACAGGTGATTTCTGCATTTCCAACTGAGGTACCGGGCTCATCTCACTGGGGAGTGTCAGAAAGTGGGTGCAGGACAGTGGGTGCAGCGCACCCCATGTGAGCCAAAGCATGGTGAGGCATCGCCTCACCCAGGAAGTGCAAGGGGTCAGGGAATACCCTTTCCTAGTCAAAGAAAGGGGTGACAGATTGCACCTGGAAAATCGGGTGACTCCCACCCTAACACTGTACTGTTCCAAAGGTCTTAGCAAACGGCATACCAGGAGATTATATCCTGCACCTGGCTCAGAGGGTCCTACGCCCACAGAGCCACAATCATTGCTAGCACAGCAGTCTGAGATCAAACTGCAAGGCAACAACAAGCCTGGGGGAGGGGCGCCCACCATTGCCGTGGCTTGAGTAGGTAAACAAAGCAGCCAGGAAGCTCCAACTGGGTGGAGCCAACTGCATCTCAAGGAGGCCTGCCTGACTCTGTAGACTCCACCTCTGGGGGCAGGGAATAGCCAAACAAATGGCAGCAGAATCCTCTGCAGACTTAAATGTCCCTGTCTGACAGCTTTGAAGAGAGTAGTGGTTATCCCAGCATGCAGCTGGAGATCTGAGAACAGACAGACTGCCTCCTCAAGTGGGTCCCTGACCCCCGAGTAGCCTATCTGGGAAGCATCCCCAGTAGGGGCAGACTGACACCTCACACGGCCGGGTACTCCTCTGAGACAAAATTTCCAGAGGAACAATCAGGCAGCAATATTTGCTTTTCACCAATATCCGCTGTTCTGCAGCCTCCACTGCTGATACCCAGGCAAACAGGGTCTGGAGTGGACCTCCAGCAAACTCCAACAGACCTGCAGCTGAGGGTTCTGACTGTTAGAAGGAAAACTAACAAACAGAAAGTACATCCACAACAAAATCCCATCTGTACATCACAATCATCAAAGACCAAAGGAGAGAAAACTACAAAGATGGGGAAAAAACAGAGCAGAAAAACGGAAAATTCTAAAAATCAGAGTATCTCTCCACCTCCAAAGGAACACAGCTCCTCACCAGCAATGGAACAAAGCTGGACAGAGAATGACTTTGACGAATTGAGAGAAGAAGGCTTCAGACGATCAAACTACTCCGAGCTAAAGGAGGAAGTTCAAACCCATGGCAAAGAAGTGAAAAACCTTTAAAAAAATTAGATGAATAGCTAACTAGAATAACCAATGCAGAGAAGTTCGTAAAGGACCTGATGGAGCTGAAAACCAATGTACGAGAAGTACGTGATGAATGCACAAGCCTCAGTAGCCAATTCGATGAACTGGAAGAAAGGGTGTCAGTGATGGAAGATCAAATGAATGAAATGAAGTGAGAAAAGAAGTTTAGAGAGAAAAAGATAAAAAGAAATGAACAAAACCTCCAAGAAATATGGGACTGTGTGAAAAGACCAAATCTACATCTGATTGGTGTACCTGAAAGTTATGAGGAGAATGGAAACAAGTTGGAAAACACTCTGAAGGATATTATCCATGAGAACTTCCCCAATCTAGCAAGGGAGGGTGACATTCAAATTCAGGAAATACAGAGAACACCAAAAAGATAATCCTCAAGAAGAGCAACTCCAAGACACATAATTGTCAGATTCACCAAAGTTGAAATGAAGGAAAAAATGTTAAGGGCAGCCAGAGAGAAAGGTCGGGTTACCCACAAAGGGAAGCCCATCAGACTAACAGCTGATCTCTCGGCAGAAACTCTACAAGCCAGAAGAGTGGGGAACAATATTCAACATTCTTAAAGAAAAGAATTTTCAATCCAGAATTTCATATTCATTCAAACTAAGCTTCATAAGTGAAGGAGAAATAAAATCCTTTACATACAAGCAAACGATGAGAGATTTTGTCACCACCAGGCCTGCCCTAAAAGAGCTCCTGAAGGAAGCACTAAACATGGAAAGGAACAACCGGTACCAGCCACTGCAAAAACATGCCAAGTTGTAAAGACCATCGAGGCTAGGAAGAAACTGCATCAACTAACGAGCAAAATAACCAGCTAACATCATAATGACAGGATCAAATGCACACAAAACAATATTAACCTTAAAAGTAAATGGACTAAATTCTCCCATTAAAAGACACAGACTGGCAAATTGGATAAAGAGTCAAGACCCATCAGTGTTCTGTATTCAGGAAACGCATCTCACGTGCAGAGACACACATAGGCTCAAAATAAAGGGATGGAGGAAGATCTACCAAGCAAATGGAAAACAGAAAAAGGCAGGGGTTACAATCCTAGTGTCTGATAAAACAGACTTTAAAACAATAAAGATCAAAAGAGACAAAGAAGTCCATTACGTAATGATAAAGGGATCAATGCAATAAGAAGAGCTAATTATCCTGAATATATATGCACCCAATATAGGAGCACACAGATTCATAAAGCAAGTCCTTAGAGACCTAGAAAGAGACTTAGACTCCCACACAATAGTAATGGGAGATTTTAACACCCCACTGTCAACATTAGACATATCAATGAGACAGATAGTTAACAAGGATATCCAGGAATTGAACTCAGCTCTGCACCAAGCAGACCTAATAGACATCTACAGAACTGTCCACCCCAAATCAACAGAATATACATTCTTCTCAGCACCGCACCGCACTTATTCCAAAATTGACCACATAGTTGGAAGTAAAGCACTCCTCAGCAAATTGTAAAAGAACAGAAATTATAAAAACCTCTCTCTCAGACCACACTGCAATAAAACTAGAACTCAGGATTAAGAAACTCACTCAAAACCGCTCAACTACATGGAAACCAAACAACCTGCTCCCGAATGACTACTGGGTACATAACGAAACGAAGGCAGAAATAAAGATGTTCTTTGAAAGCAACGAGAACAAAGACACAACATACCAGAATCTATGGGACACATTCAAAGCAGCGTGTAGAGGGAAATTTATAGCACTAAAGGCCCACAAGAGAAAGCAGAGAAGATCTAAAATTGACACCCTAACATCACAATTAAAAGAACTAGAGAAGCAAGAGCAAACACATTCAAAAGCTAGCAGAAGGCAAGAAATAACTAAGATCAGAGCAGAATTGAAAGAAATAGAAACATAAAAAACCCTTCAAAAAATCAGTGAATTCAGGAGCTGGTTTTTGAAACGATCAACAAAATTGATAGACTGCTAGCAAGACTAGTAAAGAAGAAAAGAGAGAAGAATCAAATAGACGCAATAAAAACTGATCATTTATGTGGCTCAAGTTCTCTAATATAACATAGTACGGTCAAAATGGAAGGGTAAAAATTGCAAGACCACCTTAACGTTTGTCATCTTAAGTGTACTATAAAAATGCCTTTTAAATTAATTCAGTGAATAGGTTTTTAAGTGCATGTTTTAGATTATGCTGAACTGTCAAATACCAGCACATCCCTAATTTGCAGTAGATTAACAGCACTTTTTAGCACACATCACAGAGTTGTTCGGTGGCCAAATTGAAAAGGCACCTCCTCTCCATGTGGTCATTCAGAAACTCAAAGTTCTTTCATTATTTGTCTTCATCATCCATGAGTCGTGGTTGCCGTTTGTGTTCAGTCCCCTGAAAATAAAGTACTTTAAGAAATGCATGCGAGAAGACTTGATGGACTCATCTTAATGTGACTCACATCCATCTCACTCTACAACCATTAACAATAACTGGTCACGTTTCCACATCTCATGCAAATGAGGCTAAGAAATGTAATTCTGCTGTGTCCCTAATAAATGGGAGAATAGAATTTGTTGAATGACCAGAGTTTTCCGTAACATTGTGTCACTCATATGGATTTACTGTGTTTCTCAAATATTTATTAAACATCTGTCATAGCCAAGCACTGTGATAAGGAGTACAGGGAGGACAGAGAGCTGACTCAGCAGAGTCCTAGTCTGAAAGAAACTCACAATCTAAGAAAATAAGAAAAGTCATGTTAGGTGCTGCTATAAAGGCACATGCACACGTATGTTTATTGTGGCACTACTCACAATGCAAATACTTGGAACCAACCGAAATGTCCAACAATGATAGACTGGATCAAGCAAATGTGGCCCATATACACCATGGAATGCTATGCAGCCATAAAAAATGATGAGTTCATGTCCTTTGTGTGTACATGGATGAAGCTGGAAAAGATAATTCTCAGCAAACTATCACAAGGACAAAAAAAAACAAACACCACATGTTCTCGCTTATAGGTGGGAATTGAACAATGAGAACACTTGGACACAGGAAGGGTAACATTACCCACTGGGGAATGTTGTTGGGGGGGGAGGGGGGAGGGATAGCATTTGGAGATATACCTAATGTAAATGACGAGTTAATGGGTGCAGCTCACCAACATGGCACATGTATACATAAGTAACAAACCTGCACGTTGTGCACATGTACCCTAGAACTTAAAGTATAATAAATATATGTATAACATACGTATATATTATATACATGTTCAAGGGATTCTCCTGCCTCAGCCTCCCAAGTAGCTGGGATTACAAGCGCTGCCATTACTCCCAGCTATTTTTTGTATTTTTAGTAGAGAAGGAGTTTTGCCATGTTGACCAGGACGGTCTGGATCTCCTGACCTCATGATCCACACCCCTTGGCCTCCCAGAGTGCTGGGATTACAGGTGTGAGCCACAGCCCCCGGCCTATATGAGTTTTCAAATAGTTTTTTCTAGCTCCGTAAAAAATTTCATTGGCAGTTTGATGGAAATAGTATTAAATCTGTAAATTTCTTTGTGAAGTATAGCCATTTTAGTGATATTGCATCTTCCTATCCGTGAGCATGGGATGGTTTTCCATTTGTTTGTATCTTCTCTGATTTCTTTGAGCAGTGTTTTGTAAATCTCATTGTAGAGCTCTTTCACCTCCCTGGTGAGCTGCATTTCCAGATATTTTATTATTTTAGTGGCAATTGTGAATGGGATGGCCTTTCTGATTTTGCTGTCAGTGTGGCTATCGTTGGTGTAGAAAAATGTTAGTGATCTTTGCACATTGATTTAGTATCTTGAAACTTTGCTGAAGCTGTTTGTTAACTAAAGAAGCTTTGTAGATGAAACTACAGGGTTTTCTAGATAGAGAATTATGTTATCTGCAAACAGAAATAGTTTGGCTTTCTCTCTTCCTATTTGGATGTTCTTCGGATTTCTTTCTCTAGCCTGATTGCTCTGGTCAGTACTGTCAATACTAAGTTGAATAGAAATGGCAAGAGAGGGCATTCTTGCCTTCTACTGGTTTTAAAAAATAATGTTCCCGGCTTTTGCCCATTCAACACATTGTTGGCTGTGGGTTTCTTATAGACGGCTTTTATTATTTTCTGCGTCTATTGAGATAATCATCTTTTTTTTGTTTTTAGTTCTGTTTATGTAATGTATTACATTTATTGATTTGCACATGATGGACCAACCTTGCGTCCTAAGGAGGAAGCCTACTTGATCATGACGGATTACCTGTTTGATGTGCTGCTGGATTTGCCTCCCAAATATTTTGTTGAGAACTTTTGTATTGATGTTCGTCAAGAATGTTGGCCTGAAGTTTTCTTTCCCTTCTTTCTTTTTTTTTTTTTTTTGACGGTGTCTCCCTCTGTTGCCCAGGCTGGAGTGGATTGCACTGGCGCGATCTCTGCTTAATGCAATCTCTGCCTCCTGAGTTCACGCCATTCTCCTGCTTCAGCCTCCCAAGTAGCTGGGACTACAGGTGTCTGCTACCAAGCCCGGCTAATTTTTTGTGTTTTTGTTGTGTCTCTGCCTGTTTTGGTGTCAAGATCATGCTGTCCTCATAGAATGAGTTGGGGAGAAGACCCTCCTTCTCAATTTTTGGGTATAGTTTCTGTAGGAATTGTACCAGCTCTTCTTTGTACATTTGGTAGAATTTGGCTGTAAGTCCATAAAGTCCAGAGCTTTTTTTTTTGATTGGCAAGCTACTTATTACCTATTTAATATCAGAGTTTTTTACTGGTCTGTTCAGGAAATCATTGTCTTCCTGGCTTAATCTTGAGAGAGTGTGTATATCTAGGAATCTATTTATTTCGTTAAAGTTTTCTAGTTTGTGTGTATAAAGTTGTTCATGTTAGTGCTGTCCCCAGTTAAATAAAAACAACTATTAGAAACCACTAAAGTTTAACACTTGTTTTTATATCTTTAATCAATTTTTATTTAATTTTTCTACTTGGAATGTGATAAAGATTCAACTTTACTGGTTTAAATGTGGACTTGTTTTCCCAGCATTTCTTGTGTAACAAACTGTCTTTACATAATGATTAAGACACACTTTTAAAAAGACAAACAATAATTTATGAAAGGGTTTTTTGGAGTATCTATTTTATTTATTTGATCTCCACAATTGTTCTTATGCCACTATCAAACTGTTATAATTTTAGTAGCTTTTTATGTTTTCAAATTTAAAATTGTGAGCCACCTAATTTTGTCCTTCTTTTCAAGATTATTCTGTACATTCAGAGGATGTTCAAATTCCATATGAAGTTTTAAATGAGCTATTTTCTTTTTGCAGAAGAAAAGTTGGAAAAATGAAAACTTGGGATTACAGTACATCTGTACACTCCTTTGGGCAGTGGTATTGTCATCTTAACTTCATTAAATCTTCCGGTTCAGGAACATGGAATTTGTTGCCAGTTATTTAAGTCCTTTTTAGTTTTTTTCATAAACATTCTGATCCTGTATTTTTTATTGTACAAGATATTTACCTCCTTATTAAATTTATTGCGAAGAATTATATTATTTTAATGTTGTTGCGAACAATTGTTTTCTTAATTTACTGTCAAATTGTTAATTGTATATGGAAATGCAGTTTATGTTTCTGTGTTGTAAAAATAATTATTTCATGTCTCAAATCTAGATTAGCAATTCATTCAGAATAAATATGCTGTATATATTACTAGTCATTTAACTTTTTCCAATAAGCTAACCAATTTCAATATGTCTAAATATGTAAAAATGTTAAATTGTGTTAGATTTTTCACTTACTCTCACCTGTCATTTATCTGTCAGAATTACATTACTGCGCACTAGAACTTTCATTTCTGGGGCCGGGCACGGAGGCTCATGCCTATATTCCTAGCACTTTGTGAGGCCAAGGCAGGCGGACCACCTGAGATCAGGAGTTCGAGACCTGTCTGGCCAATATGGTAAAACCCCGCCTCTACTAAAAATACAAAAATAAGCTGAGCGTGGTCTTGGGAGACTGTATTCCCAGCTACTTTGGAGGCTGACACTGGAGAATCACTTGAACAATCCCACGACACAAAACAACCGAGGTTAGTCTTCATGTCGAAAGTCTTCAATGGATTGTCTTTTATCACAGGATTGCTTAGTGCAACATTTAATGGGAAAGATGCATGCTACTGAGATGTAGTTCTCCACAAGTCTCTTAGAGTTTGTTGTTTTGTTGTGGATTACATCACATACCTGTCCTGTTCCACGTTATTTTTCAAAGATTTTTGTACACAAATAACCTGGAAAAAGGGTAGTAGTTTTTCTCTTCAGGTGAATGGCAGATAAATTACTCAATCAATATAATAAAGACAATTTTTCTTTGTGACGCAAAGGTTGGACAGGCTTCCATGTAACCTACTTTAAAAAGATTGAGGTTTCTTAGTCTTGAGTCTGCTCAGCTATGACACAAATCTTCCCCATGTACAATGTCCATATGAGCCTTTTGAAATCCTTCAAAAAACGTAGTATGGACAAGGAGAACTAATACAAATATGAGGCTTTTGCCTCCAGGTAAGCAGTAAATAGTAGGTATTTTTTTTCATACTTCAGTGTCTCATGCCTTCTACCAGCATCGATGAAAATGGAAGGTTAATATGTTGTTTACAAATGCTATAAAATCTTAGATACGTCACAATTATTTAATTTTGGAGATGACTATGGCATGCTGAGATAAACACAACTTTCTGAAAGGGGAAAAGGAACAAATACTTGAAGAGCTTGCAAGGGATATGAGAAGTTCCCCCAGGACCAACAGCAAATTCTCTCGGCCAAGTGGTTAGTTTGGTGAAGCAAGAGATCAAGACTCTGCTGTCTGCTAATGAGACTGATCCTTGAGAGGATTATAACAATGAACCTGAGAGCTTTGCATGTTCACTTTTCTCCTGCTGGAAAATCAAGGAGCTCTTAAAGCTAATGTTGAGGTTTGGATGAGTCCAAAACAGTAGAAGTTCATGTGGTTCAGCTGTGAGCAGCAAAAAGACTGCAAAAAGCCACATTAAGCAGGTTTTGTAAGTCTCTCCTTTACCCACATGAAGGAACCCATTCCCTCTGCACTTCTAATTTTTGTCCTTTGTCTACAGCTAACTTCAGCAACTTTAAATATTAAACTACATACGATTGGAGGTTTGGATGGGGGAACACAAATGTATGTAGTTCCTTTGGATATATGTATCTAATTCACCATTCTGTGGAGTCCCTTAGGGTGCACAGGGAGATATAGGTGTTAGGGTGGCTGGAAATGCTGACAAACCTATCATTCTATTAATCCAGTTGCTTCCAGATAATGGAAAGCATGGTAAGTCCACTGACATCCGTGAAGATGAGCACACTGCTACACTTTGGCTGTGAAGTGAGTTTCTTGGTCTGAGCAATGCTAAGTGGAATATCATAGGGATGGATGAGGGATTCTGTGAGTCCATGGAGGGTAGTTTTGGCAGAATTCCACCCAGGGAAAGCAAATTTGTATCCATAGTAAGAGCCTACTCCAGTGAGTACAAACTGTTGCCGCCTATATTATAAAAGTTATTCAACGTAATAAATTTACTACCAGGTGCCTGGTGGATCACCCTGGAAATGATGTCATATCAAAGACTCAGTGTAGATCTGTGCTGCTGTCAAATTAAACATTCAGAATTGACTGTAGCCAGACTGGCCTTTGGGATTCAAAGTTCATATTGCTTAGCCCGTGCATTGCTTCTATTTCTGCTACTATGTTCACCTTGTTTATAAGCCCATTGGGTGATGATGGGGGTGACAGGGAAGTAAGAATGACCCATACTCACGGAACAAGACATTCTGTCCACATCATTATCAAAATCATGCTCTGATACGGTTACCCCTTAGTAGGGATTCATATAGAACAGACATATCTTTATGTAATTTACCCAGTGAGAGAAGTTTATCCACAAAAGTTTTTCTATTTTTTTTTTTTGCCAGGAATTTTGTAATCATGTTCCTTCCGTGTCATTGGTCATGTAGCCAATTCATGGGCCACAGCAGTGTTGCAGGAGTGAGTATCATAGGATCTCAAACTCCTGTTCTTAAGCAATCCTTGCCTCAACCTCTTAAGTAGCTGAGACTATAGGTGCACCCCACAACGCCTAACTAATTTTGTTTTATTTTTAGTAGAGATTAGATTTTGCTATGTTTTCCAGGCTGTTCTCACACTCCCCACCTCAAGCGATTCTCCCAGCTTTGCCTGCAAAGTGCTTTGACTAGAGTCAAACCTCCACACCCAGCACCTATAATTTGATATTTTAAACAATACTATGTAGCGAAAGCAATTACGAAGTTATCTAGGGAAAGAAAGCTCACTATCACAGTGTAAAATTGTATAGATATGATGCGGGCATGTGTGTATACATGCTTGCTTGTGTGCATAGGTGCGTGTTTTCTGAGAAATGGTACCTTATTGCTACCAGGCTAGGATAGCATTCATGTTCTTCTGAAGATGTCAAATATTGAAGCTCCAGGATTCATAGAACAAGATTCCTAAGTGGTTCACGAGAGGGTGAACGATTGAGTAATGGGTATTTTGGAAGAAACAACTGGCCTAGGGACAAGAATAAGTGTGCAAATCATCTGTGTGAAACACGCTTTCTTCGGAGCACGCATTTCATGCACTTCATTCTACTGTGACAGATATTGCTACTCTGAGTTTGGGAGAGATTGAACCTAGGGTCTACTGTGAAACTCTGTAGACTAGACTTCTGTCTGAGGCAGCCCCTGCCTGTAACCGTAACCTGCGCCAAACTCCAATGGAGCATTCTTCTCAATGGATAAATGGAAATTCCGGATGATCCGATGGGCAGAGAGTGCGACTGTTTTTTTCAGGAGCTCTGGTTGAATGGTTTTGGGGACTTTCTGGGAGGATGCTCTGCACCCAGAAAAGTAGTCCAACGGGAATCATGAGAAAATGGGCGACTCCGTGTGCCTCCGTCCCCTCCTACTTCCTCACCCACCCCTCCATCAGGGATCCCACGTATTCCAGGATGACACGTGTTTTAGTTGTCTTTGGGCGACAACTAGCGGCAACCGTTATTGAAAATGTAAGCTGTAGAGAACAAAAAAACTCTGGTCGCCTGTTCACAGCTCACTCACTGCAACGTTGAATCCTGGGCTTAAGCAATCCTCCTGCCTCAGCTTCCTGAGTAGCTGGAAATATAGGCATGTGCCACAATGCTGGGCAATATTTTTAAGTAGTGGTAATCTCTCTCGATGTGTTGCCCAGGTTAGTCTCAAACTCCTGTCCTCTATCCAGCCTCCCACCTTGGTCTTCAGAAGTCCTGGGATTACAGGCTTGAGCCACTGTGCTCACTCCTATAATTTGATGTTTTCAACAATACTATGTAGTGAAATGCATCACGAAGACATTTTGCAAAAGAAAGCTCACTATCACATATAAAGTTGTATACTTGTCATGTGCTTACGTGAGCGCATGTTCTTGCCTGTCTGAATGTTTTCTGAGAACTGATCATCTTTTCCCCAGGGACACTGGTTGAAGAGCTGCGGGGATTGTCTGGGAGGGTGTCTCGGGCCCAGAAACGTAATCCAGGAGAGATCAGAAGACCGGCGACCCCATGGGCCTCCATCTCTTTCTCCTTCCTTGACAACCCCTAAACCAGTGACCCCACTCATTCCAGGCTGGAACGTCGTTCGGTTGTCATTTGGCGTCACCTAGCGGTCACTGTTATTGAAAATGGAGGCATCACACCAAAACTTCTGGCCGCCCGCGCACAGCCAGGGAAAACTGGTTTCTCTCGGGCCCCACCCTGACCTCAGAGGCACTCCTTCTGTCCCTCCCCCTATGCCTTGTTGCCTAGGAAACCTCCACCCTGGCTGGGAATGCTTATTTCTTTATTTATTTAGAGACAGAGACAGTTTCGCTCTTGTAGCCCAGGTTGAAGTTCAATGGCGCCATCTCGGCTCACTGCAACCTCTGCCTCCTGGATTCAAGCGATTCTCCTGCCTCAGCCTCCCCACTAGCTGGTATTACATGTGCCTGCCTCTACTCCCAGCAAATTTTTGTATTTTTAGTAGGGACGTCATTTCGCCATGTTGGCCAGTCTGTTCTCGAAGTCCTGACTTCAGATGATCCACCCACCTCAGCCTCTTAAAGTGCTGAGTTTACAGAAATAAGCCAGGGCGCCTAGGCTATCATTTGTTTTTCTTTCTTCCTTTTTTTTTTTTTTTTTTTTTTTAGTAAGCATGAACAGTTCTACCTGGGTTTTAAAAATTGTGTGTGTGAAAGAAAAATAAATCTTGAGGCTTCCAAATCACTAAAGTAAAGGGAAAAGTCAAGCTGGCAACTGTTTAGGGCCAACCTGCCATTCTATTCAAAGTCACTCCTCTGCTCTTTTCTCTTTTTTTTTTTCTTTTTTGAGATGGAGTCTCGCTCAGATGCTCAAGCTGGAGCCCAGTGGAGCAATCTCGGCTCACTGCAACATTCGCCTCCTGGTTTCAAGCGATAAATGTATATTTGATTGCCTCCTTTGGAGAGGCTAATTAGAAACTCCAAAGAATGCAACCATTTGTCTCTTAACTACCTTTGACCAGGAAGTCCCCTCCTCACTTTCAGTCTTCCCGCGTTTGCTAATTTGTCCCGCCTTTGCAGACCGAACCAATGTTCATCTTGCATACTTTGATTGATGTCTCATGTCTCCCTAGAATGTATAAAACGATAATGTTCTCTGTTTACCTTAGGCACATGTCCTCAGAACCTCCTGAGGCTGTCACGGGTATGCGTCCTGAACCTTGGTTACGTAAACTTTCTAAATTAACTGAGACCTCTCTCAAGTTTTCAGGGTTCACAACGGAAAGTGCATTGTAGCTCCACCCTAGGGCTTACCATTAAGAAAAACTATCCTAAATCTCTGCAGATACAGTCAAACCGGTTGTATGTAAACTGTATGAAACTAAATGCACTTATTACAAGTAAATGAATAAATGCTGAGAAAAAAAATCATGAACCGCTCACCTTTCAAAGAAGCAATAATACTATGAATTATGTGTAATTTCCAGAGTCAGCTAGTTTCAAAATTGTCCCCACTAAACTTGGAAAGGTTCCAGAGTGAGCTATTGTGTCTCCAGCCTTTGCTCCTCCCCCTTCTTTCCCCTGCGCCCTCCCCTCAACCTTTGCCGGCAATCACATTCTCTGATTCTGCAAAAGCAGGTGGGAGCCCTAGAGAGAGTTCTCGTTTTTTTTTTTTTTTTTTTTTTTCTTTTTTGAGATGGAGTCTCGCTTAGAGGCTCAGGATGGAGCCCAATGGAGCAATCTCGGCTCACTGCAACATCCGCTTCCTGGTTTCAGGCGATTCTACTGCCTCAGCCTACCGAGGAGCTGGGTTAACAGGCACCCGTTATTATGCCCAGCTAATTTTTGTATTTTCATAGAGACAGGGTTTAACCATGTTGGCCACGCTGGACTCGAACTCCTGCCATCAGGTGATCCGTCAGCCTCAGCCTTTCAATGTGCCGGGATTACAGGCGTGAGCCACTGTGGCCAGCGAGTTCTCTTTTCTTTGTGAAGGGCAAGGCAAAGTGGAATGGATTCATCTAAAAGCGGAGTGCATGCCCTGGAAAACATCATGGTTAGACCCATGTGAGACAGGTTAGTTTTACTGCGTGTGTTCTCCATGTGTTGTTGCCCATGTGTTGCTACCATGGTAATCCTGCTGAGTATGAGAGGAATCAAAGTTTCACACATTTGGTGTATGTGCTTGACTGAGGAACCAATGGGGTGAAGCTACCATCTGTGGGATTATGACTGAACGCCTCTAAATCAGAATCCCGCCCAGAAGAAAGGATGCAGCAGCGCTGGCAAGACTCGGTTGGCCTCAGATAGCCAGTCCCCAGCCTTTGCCACCGGCCGGACGCTCCGCCCCGCTGTGCGCCAAGACCTTGCTCCGGTCTTATCATCCTAAAAAATGGGGTGCGGCCCCCCATCCTAAAAAACGGGGTGCGGCCAGAAAGGCGTTTGCTCCCTGGCCCGTCACATAACATGCTTATGGGGAATCTGATACTAAACTATTGGTAAACGCCCTGCTTCTGGGTCAGGGTTTCCTATGGAGCAGAGCAACTCCCTCACTGCAACCTATTGAAAGTCAGCCCTCCACACAAGGGGCTCTCAACCAGTGTGCGGGAAAACTAGCGTTGTGGCGTGTCCTGTATAATTCAGCCCTGGACCTCTACCTTCCTTCTTTCCTCCTTTTGCCCCCGGGGACTTAGTTCCCGGGCCTGCTCAGGCCCCCCGCCCCGGAGCCCCAGGGCATGCAGGGCTGTCTCTCGCGAGATAACATTGGCGTCGGCCGTGCATTTGGGAGGGGTCGTTCCCCAACAGCAGGCTTTCCAAGATGCAGCGCTGGGGGTTGCGAGGTAGGGTTGGCGCCCCTGCTCGATGTTCCACCTCTCTGATTGAGCTTCTTTCTCCCATCCCGCTGGGAATTCCTCCACGAGTTGGGACCGGATTCTTCGAGCCTCGTGCGAATGGCTGAGGCGCGGGTGTCAGAGGTTTTGCCCCTGCAGTCCCTGCCTGAGTAGTGTTCGCGCGATGCCCGTGGGTGGCTGTTGGGGTCACAGTCCCTCTCCCCGCCTCAGGGGTGCTGGGATGAAAGACTAGCTAGTCACTACCCTTGTGTCTTTACTCCTCTTCTCTGTCCGGGTCAACCAGCGGACTGCGGGGAAATGGCTGGCAGGTCTGCCAAGTTAGACGGCCTCAAACCTGGGCCGGTTCTGTGTGATAAGGTTCCAACTGCGTCTGATCGCTTCCCTCCGCGAGCACCACATTTGGTCTTTAGGGTGGACCCTGTCGATTAGATGCTGGCCTTTGGCTTCCCGATCAGCCCGCGAATCAGCCGACTGCGGGAAGCAAGCAACATCCAGTTGACACGGCCGCGGGCTTCTCTGTCTGGAAGACCTGGGACCAGGGCCTAAGGCCCCAGTCCTCAGGTCTCTGGTCGCCGTGCCCACCTGATGTCCGCGGCAAGCGTTGGACTTGACCGTCAACTTGGGATTTCTAAGGTAGACCAGATAACTTTGGTCAGCAGCAGTACCGCCCGCATTCACTAGGTGTCGCTTTTTCCTTGCGTTGTTTCTTCCTCTCCAACTGTTTCCACAGTACTTTCAGTTTCTCTTCGTTTTGTTTTTCTTTTATTTTTCTTGCTCCTCTTTCTACACACTGAAGTTGCTGTTGTTTTACATTTACCTTTTATTTATTTGTAGTTTTTGAGGCAGGTTGGAGTGTAAGAATGCAATCTCGGCTTACAGCCGCCTCGACTTTCCAGGACTCCCTCAGGTGATCTTCCTATCTCAGCCTTCCAAGTGGCTGAGACTACAGGAATCACTTAATTCTGTGATGTCGAAGCTGAAGTGAGCCGTGATGATGCCTTGCCCTCCAGTCTGAGTGTTTCAGAAGGTAAGAGAGACAGGTTAAAGAAAAAAATTCCTTGAAATAAACTGCAATTAACTGTGATCTAAATTACCTTTTATAGTTTTTCACTCCCACGAGTTTGTTTATTATTATTGCTGCTTATTATTTCTTTGTATTATTGTTTGTCATTATTGTTATTGTTTTTATTATTTATGTAATTATTTAGAGATGGAGTCTTCCTCTATCACCCAGAGTGCAGTGCAGTGGCGCGACTTTGGGTCACTGCAGCTTCAAATGCCTGGGTTCAAATTCGCAATATGGCGAAACACCCTGTTTACTAAAATCTGTCAATGACACCTTCAGGACCGTTGGTTGTGGCGGCTGCAATTTCGGAGGCTGAGGAGGGCAGTTCGCTAGAGCTCGGGAGTTCAAGACAGCCTCGGAAACAGACTGCAGAGCATTTGTCTGACCAAGACCCGCTGCAGCCTCCACCTCCCGACCCCAAGCGATGTTCTCAACTCAGGCTCCAAAGGATCTGGGACCACAGGCGCCTGCCATCACAATGCCCGGATTTTTTTCTTTTCTTTTCTTTTTCAGTAGAGACGGGGTCTCACTGTGTTGCCAGGGCTGGTCTCAAAGTCCTAGGCTCTAGCAATTCTTCCAACTCAGCCTCCCAAAGTGCTGGGATTATAGGTGTGAGCCACAATGCCCTGCCCTCTTTTTTATTTCCTTCATTTTTTCTCTTTTTTTCTTTCTCTTTCTTTCTGTCTTTTCTTTTTCTTCTCTCTTTTTCTTCCTCCCTTTTTTCTCTCATTTCTCATTCTTTTTTTTTCTGTTTCTATGTCTTTTGGTTTTCTTTTTCATCTTTCTTCCCTTTACATCTCTGTCTGTCTATTTTCTTTTTCTTGATCTTCCTTACTCTCTCTCTCTTTTCTTCATTTCTTTCTTTCCATCCCTCTGTCTGTCTGTCTTTGTGTGGATTTTGGAAAATTCTCCTTATTCTGTATCTCCCTGTGTATCACAAGCCTCTGTGACTTTCACTTTGTTGTTTTTCCTCCTTGTCGCGTAAAAGGCATTCACTGCTCTTTTATTTTGGTGCTCTGTGGATGTTCGAAGGGTGGGGAAAAAGTGGTCCACGAATGTGATTGGTTTCATGAGAGACACGAGAGACAAAAGAACATATGATGATTACTTCGCTAAATGCCCTGTTTATTCTTTCAACTGCACTCATACAAGTAAGGACGCAGTTGGTGGGTTGAGAGATCTCTGTGTAGTCATGACTCTGCAATTATACTTGACGAGAGCGGTGATGATGAACGGGCGGCATGGAAACCTGCCCTTCTTTGGTGTCAGTTGAGCACAGTGAGAAGAGATTCACAATGGCCTGTATCTCAACCTGATGGTACTGTGTTTCTGCTCTGATCTTTAGGAATGAGAGAAGCATTCCCGTGCATTCCTGCAACGTCCTTGAAGTTTTCTTTTTAAACTTTTCGATTAACTAACGTATTTATTAATTTATTTGAGATGGAGTCTTGTTCTGTTGGTCAGGCCATGGCGCAGTATCGGGCCACTGCAACCTCCGCCTCCCAGGTTCCAGCGATTCTCTTGCCTTAGCCTCTCGAGTAGCTGGGATAACAGGCACGTGCCACCATACCCAGCTAACTTTTACCTTTTTAGTAAAGACAGGGTTTTCCCATGTTGCCCAGGCTGGTCTTGAACTCCAACTTCCAGGAATCCTGTGGCCTCGTCCTCCCAAAGTGCTGGGAGATCCCAGGTCATCAGACTCGAGAAAGAATGTTGGTTGATATAGAAAGGCGAGACACACTGCGCCCGACCCAAATTGCTATTTTTAAAAATAAACCAGTAGGCTGGGTGCAGTGGGCCACTCCTCTCATCTCAGCAGTTTGCTAGGCGGATGTGGGAGGATTACGAGGTCAGGAGTTTGAGACCAGCCTGGCCAACATAGTCAAACTCTGTCTGTATGAAGAATACAAAAATTAACCAGGTGTGGTGTCACACACCTCTACTCCCAGCTACTCTATATGCTGAGGTAGTAGAATCTGTTGAAGCCGGGAGATGGAGATTGCAGTCAGCCCAGATCATGCCACTGGACTCCAGCTTGGGTGACAGAGTCAGATTCCATCTAAAAAAAAAAAAAAGTAATTAAAAATAAGTGAGTTTCCAAGAAGAAATAGAAACCCGCAGTGACACAAACATATGCATCTCACCTTTCGAGGCAGCAATGACACTACAAACTTGTAAACTCAGTTCATTTCTTGACTGCGGACCATGGGTATTTGTGATGCTTCCTCTTGGAACATAGTTCTGTGTGACACCATACCCAGCTAACATTTGCCTTTTTAGTAGTCAGAATTTTGCTATATTGCCCAGACTGCTCTTGAACTCATGAACTCCAGGTATCCGCCCGCCCAAAAAAAAGAGTTGTGATGAAAGGAGACACACAGATGGATTTCAGCCCTTAAAATGGTGCATGCTGCCACATTTCACAGATCTTCCCTGGGCCTTACTGGTATTTGCCCAACATAGAAATGCTTTCTAAAAAGTGACAATTTGCTTACATAATATTTCCACAAGCGATGCCTTGGTCTGTGTTTGTTTTTACGTTTTGTTTTGTTTGTAGTTTTTACTTTACTTATCTCTTTTCAGTTGAAGTAGATTTTACCAATTTTAGGAAGATGTGTATTTTCCCCAAAACCTGTTAGCTGGTGTTTTCTTCGGTCATTAAGTAGCGATTTTCGGAATCTCTCAAGGTACAGTGAGAGCCGATTGGTATAAACTATACTTCATAAAATCTTCTTTCCTTTTCATTTTTTTTTTTTTTTTTTGTCTTTCAGGTGGAGTTTCGCTCTTATTGCCCAGGCTGGAGTTCAGTGGCGTGACCTCAGCTCACCGCAACCTCTGCCGCCTGTGTTCAAGAGATTTTCCAGTCTTCACCCTTTCGAGTAGCTGAAACCACAGGCAAACACCTCCAGGCCTGGCTAATTTTTTTTTTTTCATAGAGACTAGGTAGCTCCATAATGGTCAGGCTGGTCTAGAACACCCAACCTGAGGCGTACCACCCAACTTGACCACCCAAAGTGCTGAGATTAAAGGCGTGAGCTCCGCGTCTGGCCATAACATCTTATCCTATAGAAGCCCAGAGAGGTTAGGTATGTAGTCCCTGAGACCAGCCTTCCTTGGATGAACTCCAAAGTGATGGCTGAGGATTAGGGAGTGTGGGGTGGGGGCTGGAAAGTCGGTCCCCTATTGTTGCTACCTAGGCCATGACATCCCCATACTCCCATCGCCTGCTCACCGTTTGAGATTCCCCCCCACCACCGCCTTGGTGGCTGAACTCTTACTTTAATTTCTGTCTTTCTTCGTTTGTTGGGTTTCAGGAGGGGGTGCAGGAAAGACGGTGTGCGTGGGGAGGGGGTGTAGGGTGGGGATGGAGGGGAGCGTCCTAAGGGTCGATGTAGTGTCATGCCTCTTTCATCACCACCACCGAAGATGAAACAATAATCATCTAAATACCGCGTGTTCTCACACATAAGTGGGAACTACATAATGAGAATGCATGCGAAGAACTAGGGGGACGAGAGACGCAGGAGCCTACCTGAGGGAGGACGTGTGGAAGGACAGACAGCTTCAGGACAAAGCAAAACGAGCAGAACACAAAAACTGTAGGGGACTGCGCTGAGAATCCGGGTGAGGAAATCATCGGCACACTGAACCCCCTACTCAGAAGTTTACCTATGAAACAATCTTGCACATGTATGCTTCAAAAACAAATAACAGTTAGGGAAGAAAGAGAGAGAGAGAGAAAGAGAGAGAGACAAGTAAAATAAAGCACCACCTCCTTGACCTGACTCAGGGCGTTTGGGGTCTTCTGGGGAAATGTTCTGAAACAATGGAGTATTTTGGTCTGTTCTTTCTTGTGTCTTTTTTTTTTTTTAAGACGGACTCTCGCTCAGCCACCCAGGCTGGAATGCAGTGGTGCACTGGGTTCACTGCAGCAAATATCTCCCGGGTTGAAGCGATTCTCCAGTCTCATCCTCCTGAGTGGCCGGGATTACAGTCACGCGCCATAATGCCCTGCTAATTTTTGAACATTAGTAGAGAAGGGGTATTGCCATGCTTGCGACGCTGGACTTGAAGGCAAAATGAAAATGAAAATGAAACGCAACAAAATAATTAAAAAGTGAGTTTCTGGGGAAAAAGAAGAAAAGAAAAAAGAAAAAAACAACAAAACAGAACAACCCCACCGTGACGTACACATACGCCTCTCGCCTTTCGAGGCCTCAAACACGTTAGGAATTATGCGTGATTTCTTTTTTTAACTTCATTTTATGTTATTATCGTGATTGATGTTTCGAGACGGAGTCTCGGAGGCCCGCCCTCCCTGGTTGCCCAGACAACCCCGGGAGACAGACCCTGGCTGGGCCCGATTGTTCTTCTCCTTGGTCAGGGGTTTCCTTGTCTTTCTTCGTGTCTTTAACCCGCGTGGACTCTTCCGCTCGGGTTTGACAGATGGCAGCTCCACTTTAGGCCTTGTTGTTGTTGGGGACTTTCCTGATTCTCCCCAGATGTAGTGAAAGCAGGTAGATTTGCCTTGCCTGGCCTTGCCTGGCCTTGCCTTTTCTTTCTTTCTTTCTTTCTTTATTACTTTCTCTTTTTCTTCTTCTTCTTCTTCTTTTTTTTGAGACAGAGTTTCACTCTTGTTGCCCAGGCTAGAGGGCAATGGCGCGATCTCGGCTCACCGCACCCTCCGCCTCCCAGGTTCAAGCGATTCTCCTGCCTCAGCCTCCTGATTAGCTGGGATTACAGGCATGGGCCACCGTGCCTGGCTGATGTTTGTACTTTTAGTAGAGACGGTGTTTTTCCATGTTGGTCAGGCTGGTCTCCCACTCCCAACCTCAGGTGGTCCGCCTGCCTTAGCCTCCCAAAGTGCTGGGATGACAGGCGTGAGCCACCGCGCCCAGCCTCTCTCTCTCTCTCTCTCTCTCTCTCTCTCTCGCTCGCTTGCTTGCTTGCTTTCGTGCTTTCTTCCTTTCCCGTTTTCTTTCTTTCTTTCTTTCTTTCGTTTCTTTCATGCTTGCTTTCTTGCTTGCTTGCTTGCTTTCGTGCTTTCTTGCTTTCCTGTTTTCTTTCTTTCTTTCTTTCTTTTGTTTCTTTCTTGCTTGCTTTCTTGCTTGCTTGCTTGCTTTCGTGCTTTCTTGCTTTCCTGTTTTCTTTCTTTCTTTCTTTCTTTTCTTTCTTTCTTGCTTGCTTTCCTGCTTGCTTGCTTTCGTGCTTTCTTGTTTTCTCGATTTCTTTCTTTCTTTTGTTTCTTTCCTGCTTGCTTTCTTGCTTGCTTGCTTTCGTGCTTTCTTGCTTTCCTGTTTTCTTTCTTTCTTTCTTTCTTTTGTTTCTTTCTTGCTTGCTTTCTTGCTTGCTTGCTTTCGTGCTTTCTTGTTTTCTCGATTTCTTTCTTTCTTTTGTTTCTTTCCTGCTTGCTTTCTTGCTTGATTGCTTTCGTGCTTTCTTGCTTTCTTGTTTTCTTTCTTTCTTTTGTTTCTTTCTTTCTTGCTTCCTTGTTTTCTTGCTTTCTTGCTTGCTTGCTTTCGTGCTTTCTTGTTTTCTTGCTTTCTTTCTTTTGTTTCTTTCTTGCTTGCTTTCTTGCTTCCTTGTTTTCTTGCTTTCTTGCTTGCTTGCTTTCGTGCTTTCTTGCTTTCTTTTCTTTCTTTCTTTTCTTTTTCTTTCTTTCTTTCTTTCTTGCTTTCTTTTCTTTCATTCATTCCTTCTTTCTTTTCTTTCTTTCTTCCTTCCTTCCTTCCTTCCTTCCTTTCTTTCTTTCTTTCTGTTTCGTCCTTTTGAGACAGAGTTTCACTCTTGTTTCCACGGCTAGAGTGCAATGGCGCGGTCTTGGCTCACCGCACCTTCCGCCTCCCGGGTTCGAGCGCTTCTCCTGCCTCAGCCTCCCGATTAGCGGGGATTACAGGGAGGCACCCCCACGCCTGGCTTGGCTGATGTTTGTGTTTTTAGTAGGCACGCCGTGTCTCTCCATGTTGCTCAGGCTGGTCTCCAACTCCCGACCTCCTGTGATGCGCCCACCTCGGCCTCTCGAAGTGCTGGGATGACGGGCGTGAGCCACCGTGCCCGGCCTGTTGACTCATTTCGCTTTTTTATTTCTTTCGTTTCCACGCGTTTACTTATATGTATTAATGTAAACGTTTCTGTACGCTTATATGCAAACAACGACAACGTGTATCTCTGCATTGAATACTCTTGCGTATGGTAAATACGTATCGGTTGTATGGAAATAGACTTCTGTATGATAGATGTAGGTGTCTGTGTTATACAAATAAATACACATCGCTCTATAAAGAAGGGATCGTCGATAAAGACGTTTATTTTACGTATGAAAAGCGTCGTATTTATGTGTGTAAATGAACGAGCGTACGTAGTTATCTCTGTTTTCTTTCTTCCTCTCCTTCGTGTTTTTCTTCCTTCCTTTCTTCCTTTCTCTCCTTCTTTAGGTTTTTCTTCCTCTCTTCCTTTCCTTCTTTCTCTCTTTCTGTCCTTTTTTCCTTCGTGCTTTATTTCTCTTTCGTTCCCTGTGTTTCCTTCTTTTTTCTTTCCTCTCTGTTTCTTTTTCCCTTCTTTCCTTCGTTTCTTTCCTCATTCTTTCTCTCTTTTTCGTGTTTCTTTCCTTCCCGTCTGTCTTTTAAAAAATGGAGTGTTTCAGAAGTTTACTTTGTGTATCTACGTTTTCTAAATTGTCTCTCTTTTCTCCATTGTCTTCCTCCCTCCCTCCCTCCCTCCCTCCCTGCTCCCTTCCCTCCCTCCTTCCCTTTCGCCATCTGTCTCTTTTCCCCACTCCCCTCCCCCCGTCTGTCTCTGCGTGGATTCCGGAAGAGCCTACGCATTCTGCCTCTCCGTGTGTCTGCAGCGACCCGCGACCGAGTCCTTGTGTGTTCTTTCTCCCTCCCTCCCTCCCTCCCTCCCTCCCTCCCTGCTTCCGAGAGGCATCTCCAAACACCCACGCGCCGTGGGTTGTCTTCTGACTCTGTCGCGGTCGAGGCAGAGACGCGTTTTGGGCACCGTTTGTGTGGGGTTGGGGCAGAGGGGCTGCGTTTTCGGCCTCGGGAAGAGCTTCTCGACTCACGGTTTCGCTTTCGCGGTCCACGGGCCGCCCTGCCAGCCGGATCTGTCTCGCTGACGTCCGCGGCGGTTGTCGGGCTCCATCTGGCGGCCGCTTTGAGATCGTGCTCTCGGCTTCCGGAGCTGCGGTGGCAGCTGCCGAGGGAGGGGACCGTCCCCGCTGTGAGCTAGGCAGAGCTCCGGAAAGCCCGCGGTCGTCAGCCCGGCTGGCCCGGTGGCGCCAGAGCTGTGGCGCGTCGCTTGTGAGTCACAGCTCTGGCGTGCAGGTTTATGTGGGGGAGAGGCTGTCGCTGCGCTTCTGGGCCCGCGGCGGGCGTGGGGCTGCCCGGGCCGGTCGACCAGCGCGCCGTAGCTCCCGAGGCCCGAGCCGCGACCCGCGGGGACCCGCCGCGCGTGGCGCGGGAGGCTGGGGACGCCCTTCCCGGCCCGGTCGCGGGTCCGCGCTCATCCTGGCCGTCTGAGGCGGCGGCCGAATTCGTTTCCGAGTCCCCGTGGGGAGCCGGGGACCGTCCCGCCCCCGTCCCCCGGGTGCCGGGGAGCGGTCCCTCTGCCGCGATCCTTTCTGGCGAGTCCCCGTGCGGAGTCGGAGAGCGCTCCCTGAGCGCGCGTGCGGCCCGAGAGGTCGCGCCTGGCCGGCCTTCGGTCCCTCGTGTGTCCCGGTCGTAGGAGGGGCCGGCCGAAAATGCTTCCGGCTCCCGCTCTGGAGACACGGGCCGGCCCCCTGCGTGTGGCACGGGCGGCCGGGAGGGCGTCCCCGGCCCGGCGCTGCTCCCGCGTGTGTCCTGGGGTTGACCAGAGGGCCCCGGGCGCTCCGTGTGTGGCTGCGATGGTGGCGTTTTTGGGGACAGGTGTCCGTGTCGCGCGTCGCCTGGGCCGGCGGCGTGGTCGGTGACGCGACCTCCCGGCCCCGGGGGAGGTATATCTTTCGCTCCGAGTCGGCATTTTGGGCCGCCGGGTTATTGCTGACACGCTGTCCTCTGGCGACCTGTCGCTGGAGAGGTTGGGCCTCCGGATGCGCGCGGGGCTCTGGCCTACCGGTGACCCGGCTAGCCGGCCGCGCTCCTGCTTGAGCCGCCTGCCGGGGCCCGCGGGCCTGCTGTTCTCTCGCGCGTCCGAGCGTCCCGACTCCCGGTGCCGGCCCGGGTCCGGGTCTCTGACCCACCCGGGGGCGGCGGGGAAGGCGGCGAGGGCCACCGTGCCCCCGTGCGCTCTCCGCTGCGGGCGCCCGGGGCGGCCGCGACAACCCCACCCCGCTGGCTCCGTGCCGTGCGTGTCAGGCGTTCTCGTCTCCGCGGGGTTGTCCGCCGCCCCTTCCCCGGAGTGGGGGGTTGGCCGGAGCCGATCGGCTCGCTGGCCGGCCGGCCGGCCTCCGCTCCCGGGGGGCTCTTCGTGATCGATGTGGTGACGTCGTGCTCTCCCGGGCCGGGTCCGAGCCGCGACGGGCGAGGGGCGGACGTTCGTGGCGAACGGGACCGTCCTTCTCGCTCCGCCCCGCGGGGGTCCCCTCGTCTCTCCTCTCCCCGCCCGCCGGCGGTGCGTGTGGGAAGGCGTGGGGTGCGGACCCCGGCCCGACCTCGCCGTCCCGCCCGCCGCCTTCTGCGTCGCGGGTGCGGGCCGGCGGGGTCCTCTGACGCGGCAGACAGCCCTCGCTGTCGCCTCCAGTGGTTGTCGACTTGCGGGCGGCCCCCCTCCGCGGCGGTGGGGGTGCCGTCCCGCCGGCCCGTCGTGCTGCCCTCTCGGGGGGTTTGCGCGAGCGTCGGCTCCGCCTGGGCCCTTGCGGTGCTCCTGGAGCGCTCCGGGTTGTCCCTCAGGTGCCCGAGGCCGAACGGTGGTGTGTCGTTCCCGCCCCCGGCGCCCCCTCCTCCGGTCGCCGCCGCGGTGTCCGCGCGTGGGTCCTGAGGGAGCTCGTCGGTGTGGGGTTCGGGGCGGTTTGAGTGAGACGAGACGAGACGCGCCCCTCCCACGCGGGGAAGGGCGCCCGCCTGCTCTCGGTGAGCGCACGTCCCGTGCTCCCCTCTGGCGGGTGCGCGCGGGCCGTGTGAGCGATCGCGGTGGGTTCGGGCCGGTGTGACGCGTGCGCCGGCCGGCCGCCGAGGGGCTGCCGTTCTGCCTCCGACCGGTCGTGTGTGGGTTGACTTCGGAGGCGCTCTGCCTCGGAAGGAAGGAGGTGGGTGGACGGGGGGGCCTGGTGGGGTTGCGCGCACGCGCGCACCGGCCGGGCCCCCGCCCTGAACGCGAACGCTCGAGGTGGCCGCGCGCAGGTGTTTCCTCGTACCGCAGGGCCCCCTCCCTTCCCCAGGCGTCCCTCGGCGCCTCTGCGGGCCCGAGGAGGAGCGGCTGGCGGGTGGGGGGAGTGTGACCCACCCTCGGTGAGAAAAGCCTTCTCTAGCGATCTGAGAGGCGTGCCTTGGGGGTACCGGATCCCCCGGGCCGCCGCCTCTGTCTCTGCCTCCGTTATGGTAGCGCTGCCGTAGCGACCCGCTCGCAGAGGACCCTCCTCCGCTTCCCCCTCGACGGGGTTGGGGGGGAGAAGCGAGGGTTCCGCCGGCCACCGCGGTGGTGGCCGAGTGCGGCTCGTCGCCTACTGTGGCCCGCGCCTCCCCCTTCCGAGTCGGGGGAGGATCCCGCCGGGCCGGGCCCGGCGTCCCAGCGGGTTGGGACGCGGCGGCCGGCGGGCGGTGGGTGTGCGCGCCCGGCGCTCTGTCCGGCGCGTGACTCCCTCCGCCGCGAGTCGGCTCTCCGCCCGCTCCCGTGCCGAGTCGTGACCGGTGCCGACGACCGCGTTTGCGTGGCACGGGGTCGGGCCCGCCTGGCCCTGGGAAAGCGTCCCACGGTGGGGGCGCGCCGGTCTCCCGGAGCGGGACCGGGTCGGAGGATGGACGAGAATCACGAGCGACGGTGGTGGTGGCGTGTCGGGTTCGTGGCTGCGGTCGCTCCGGGGCCCCCGGTGGCGGGGCCCCGGGGCTCGCGAGGCGGTTCTCGGTGGGGGCCGAGGGCCGTCCGGCGTCCCAGGCGGGGCGCCGCGGGACCGCCCTCGTGTCTGTGGCGGTGGGATCCCGCGGCCGTGTTTTCCTGGTGGCCCGGCCGTGCCTGAGGTTTCTCCCGGAGCCGCCGCCTCTGCGGGCTCCCGGGTGCCCTTGCCCTCGCGGTCCCCGGCCCTCGCCCGTCTGTGCCCTCTTCCCCGCCCGCCGCCCGCCGATCCTCTTCTTCCCCCCGAGCGGCTCACCGGCTTCACGTCCGTTGGTGGCCCCGCCTGGGACCGAACCCGGCACCGCCTCGTGGGGCGCCGCCGCCGGCCACTGATCGGCCCGGCGTCCGCGTCCCCCGGCGCGCGCCTTGGGGACCGGGTCGGTGGCGCCCCGCGTGGGGCCCGGTGGGCTTCCCGGAGGGTTCCGGGGGTCGGCCTGCGGCGCGTGCGGGGGAGGAGACGGTTCCGGGGGACCGGCCGCGACTGCGGCGGCGGTGGTGGGGGGAGCCGCGGGGATCGCCGAGGGCCGGTCGGCCGCCCCGGGTGCCGCGCGGTGCCGCCGGCGGCGGTGAGGCCCCGCGCGTGTGTCCCGGCTGCGGTCGGCCGCGCTCGAGGGTCCCGTGCGTCCCCTTTCCCCGCCGGCCGCCTTTCTCGCGCCTTCCCCGTCGCCCCGCCTCGCCGTGGTCTCTCGTCTTCTCCCGGCCCGCTCTTCCGAACCGGGTCGGCGCGTCCCCCGGGTGCGCTCGCTTCCCGGGCCTGCCGCGGCCCTTTCCCCGAGGCGTCCGTCCCGGGCGTCGGCGTCGGGGAGAGCCCGTCCTCCCCGCGTGGCGTCGCCCGTTCGGCGCGCGCGTGCCCGAGCCGGCCCGGTGGTCCCTCCCGGACAGGCGTTCGTGCGACGTGTGGCGTGGGTCGACCTCCGCCTTGCCGGTCGCTCGCCCTCTCCCCGGGTCGGGGGGTGGGGCCCGGGCCGGGCCTCGGCCCCGGTCGCGGTCCCCCGTCCCGGGCGGGGCGGGCGCGCCGGCCGGCCTCGGTCGCCCTCCCTTGGCCGTCGTGTGGCGTGTGCCACCCCTGCGCCGCGCCGCCGGCGGGGCTCGGAGCCGGGCTTCGGACGGCCCCGGGCACTCGACCGGACCGGTGCGCGGGCGCTGCGGCGCACGGCGCGACTGTCCCCGGGCCGGGCACCGCGGTCCGCCTCTCGCTCGCGCCCGGACGTCGGGTGCCCGCGGGGCGGCGGAGCGCCGTCCCCGCCTGCGCGCGCCCGCGGGCGCCATGCGCGCGCGCGTGGCCGCCGGTCCCTCCCGGCCGCCGGGCGCGGGTCGGGCCGTCCGCCTCCTCGCGGGCGGGCGCGACGAAGAAGCGTCGCGGGTCTGTGGCGCGGGGCCCCGGTGGTCGTGTCGCGTGGGGGGCGGGTGGTTGGGGCGTCCGGTTCGCCGCGCCCCGCCCCGGCCCCACCGGTCCCGGCCGCCGCCCCCGCGCCCGCTCGCTCCCTCCCGTCCGCCCGTCCGCGGCCCGTCCGTCCGTCCGTCCGTCGTCCTCCTCGCTTGCGGGGCGCCGGGCCCGTCCTCGCGAGGCCCCCCGGCCGGCCGTCCGGCCGCGTCGGGGCCTCGCCGCGCTCTACCTTACCTACCTGGTTGATCCTGCCAGTAGCATATGCTTGTCTCAAAGATTAAGCCATGCATGTCTAAGTACGCACGGCCGGTACAGTGAAACTGCGAATGGCTCATTAAATCAGTTATGGTTCCTTTGGTCGCTCGCTCCTCTCCTACTTGGATAACTGTGGTAATTCTAGAGCTAATACATGCCGACGGGCGCTGACCCCCTTCGCGGGGGGGATGCGTGCATTTATCAGATCAAAACCAACCCGGTCAGCCCCTCTCCGGCCCCGGCCGGGGGGCGGGCGCCGGCGGCTTTGGTGACTCTAGATAACCTCGGGCCGATCGCACGCCCCCCGTGGCGGCGACGACCCATTCGAACGTCTGCCCTATCAACTTTCGATGGTAGTCGCCGTGCCTACCATGGTGACCACGGGTGACGGGGAATCAGGGTTCGATTCCGGAGAGGGAGCCTGAGAAACGGCTACCACATCCAAGGAAGGCAGCAGGCGCGCAAATTACCCACTCCCGACCCGGGGAGGTAGTGACGAAAAATAACAATACAGGACTCTTTCGAGGCCCTGTAATTGGAATGAGTCCACTTTAAATCCTTTAACGAGGATCCATTGGAGGGCAAGTCTGGTGCCAGCAGCCGCGGTAATTCCAGCTCCAATAGCGTATATTAAAGTTGCTGCAGTTAAAAAGCTCGTAGTTGGATCTTGGGAGCGGGCGGGCGGTCCGCCGCGAGGCGAGCCACCGCCCGTCCCCGCCCCTTGCCTCTCGGCGCCCCCTCGATGCTCTTAGCTGAGTGTCCCGCGGGGCCCGAAGCGTTTACTTTGAAAAAATTAGAGTGTTCAAAGCAGGCCCGAGCCGCCTGGATACCGCAGCTAGGAATAATGGAATAGGACCGCGGTTCTATTTTGTTGGTTTTCGGAACTGAGGCCATGATTAAGAGGGACGGCCGGGGGCATTCGTATTGCGCCGCTAGAGGTGAAATTCTTGGACCGGCGCAAGACGGACCAGAGCGAAAGCATTTGCCAAGAATGTTTTCATTAATCAAGAACGAAAGTCGGAGGTTCGAAGACGATCAGATACCGTCGTAGTTCCGACCATAAACGATGCCGACCGGCGATGCGGCGGCGTTATTCCCATGACCCGCCGGGCAGCTTCCGGGAAACCAAAGTCTTTGGGTTCCGGGGGGAGTATGGTTGCAAAGCTGAAACTTAAAGGAATTGACGGAAGGGCACCACCAGGAGTGGAGCCTGCGGCTTAATTTGACTCAACACGGGAAACCTCACCCGGCCCGGACACGGACAGGATTGACAGATTGATAGCTCTTTCTCGATTCCGTGGGTGGTGGTGCATGGCCGTTCTTAGTTGGTGGAGCGATTTGTCTGGTTAATTCCGATAACGAACGAGACTCTGGCATGCTAACTAGTTACGCGACCCCCGAGCGGTCGGCGTCCCCCAACTTCTTAGAGGGACAAGTGGCGTTCAGCCACCCGAGATTGAGCAATAACAGGTCTGTGATGCCCTTAGATGTCCGGGGCTGCACGCGCGCTACACTGACTGGCTCAGCGTGTGCCTACCCTACGCCGGCAGGCGCGGGTAACCCGTTGAACCCCATTCGTGATGGGGATCGGGGATTGCAATTATTCCCCATGAACGAGGAATTCCCAGTAAGTGCGGGTCATAAGCTTGCGTTGATTAAGTCCCTGCCCTTTGTACACACCGCCCGTCGCTACTACCGATTGGATGGTTTAGTGAGGCCCTCGGATCGGCCCCGCCGGGGTCGGCCCACGGCCCTGGCGGAGCGCTGAGAAGACGGTCGAACTTGACTATCTAGAGGAAGTAAAAGTCGTAACAAGGTTTCCGTAGGTGAACCTGCGGAAGGATCATTAACGGAGCCCGGAGGGCGAGGCCCGCGGCGGCGCCGCCGCCGCGCGCTTCCCTCCGCACACCCACCCCCCCACCGCGACGCGGCGCGTGCGCGGGCGGGGCCCGCGTGCCCGTTCGTTCGCTCGCTCGTTCGTTCGCCGCCCGGCCCCGCCGGCCGCGAGAGCCGGAGAACTCGGGAGGGAGACGGGGGAGAGAGAGAGAGAGAGAGAAAGAGAAAGAAGGGCGTGTCGTTGGTGTGCGCGTGTCGTGGGGCCGGCGGGCGGCGGGGAGCGGTCCCCGGCAGCGGCCCCGACGGCGTGGGTGTCGGCGGGCGCGGGGGCGGTTCTCGGCGGCGTCGCGGCGGGTCTGGGGGTCTCGGTGCCCTCCTCCCCGCCGGGGCCCGTCGTCCGGCCCCGCCGCGCCGGCTCCCCGTCTTCGGGGCCGGCCGGATTCCCGTCGCCTCCGCCGCGCCGCTCCGCGCCGCCGGGCACGGCCCCGCTCGCTCTCCCCGGCCTTCCCGCTAGGGCGTCTCGAGGGTCGGGGGCCGGACGCCGGTCCCCTCCCCCGCCTCCTCGTCCGCCCCCCCGCCGTCCAGGTACCTAGCGCGTTCCGGCGCGGAGGTTTAAAGACCCCTTGGGGGGATCGCCCGTCCGCCCGTGGGTCGGGGGCGGTGGTGGGCCCGCGGGGGAGTCCCGTCGGGAGGGGCCCGGCCCCTCCCGCGCCTCCACCGCGGACTCCGCTCCCCGGCCGGGGCCGCGCCGCCGCCGCCGCCGCGGCGGCCGTCGGGTGGGGGCTTTACCCGGCGGCCGTCGCGCGCCTGCCGCGCGTGTGGCGTGCGCCCCGCGCCGTGGGGGCGGGAACCCCCGGGCGCCTGTGGGGTGGTGTCCGCGCTCGCCCCCGCGTGGGCGGCGCGCGCCTCCCCGTGGTGTGAAACCTTCCGACCCCTCTCCGGAGTCCGGTCCCGTTTGCTGTCTCGTCTGGCCGGCCTGAGGCAACCCCCTCTCCTCTTGGGGGGGGGCGGGGGGACGTGCCGCGCCAGGAAGGGCCTCCTCCCGGTGCGTCGTCGGGAGCGCCCTCGCCAAATCGACCTCGTACGACTCTTAGCGGTGGATCACTCGGCTCGTGCGTCGATGAAGAACGCAGCTAGCTGCGAGAATTAATGTGAATTGCAGGACACATTGATCATCGACACTTCGAACGCACTTGCGGCCCCGGGTTCCTCCCGGGGCTACGCCTGTCTGAGCGTCGCTTGCCGATCAATCGCCCCCGGGGGTGCCTCCGGGCTCCTCGGGGTGCGCGGCTGGGGGTTCCCTCGCAGGGCCCGCCGGGGGCCCTCCGTCCCCCTAAGCGCAGACCCGGCGGCGTCCGCCCTCCTCTTGCCGCCGCGCCCGCCCCTTCCCCCTCCCCCCGCGGGCCCTGCGTGGTCACGCGTCGGGTGGCGGGGGGGAGAGGGGGGCGCGCCCGGCTGAGAGAGACGGGGAGGGCGGCGCCGCCGCCGCCCGCGAAGACGGAGAGGGAAAGAGAGAGCCGGCTCGGGCCGAGTTCCCGTGGCCGCCGCCTGCGGTCCGGGTTCCTCCCTCGGGGGGCTCCCTCGCGCCGCGCGCGGCTCGGGGTTCGGGGTTCGTCGGCCCCGGCCGGGTGGAAGGTCCCGTGCCCGTCGTCGTCGTCGTCGCGCGTCGTCGGCGGTGGGGGCGTGTTGCGTGCGGTGTGGTGGTGGGGGAGGAGGAAGGCGGGTCCGGAAGGGGAAGGGTGCCGGCGGGGAGAGAGGGTCGGGGGAGCGCGTCCCGGTCGCCGCGGTTCGCCGCCCGCCCCCGGTGGCGCCCGGCGTCCGCCGACCGCCGCTCCCGCGCCCCTCCTCCTCCCCCGCCGCCCCTCCTCCGAGGGCCCGCCCTGTCCTCCTCGCCCTCCCCGCGCGTACGCGCGCCCGCCCGCCCGGCTCGCCTCGCGGCGCGTCGGCCGGGGCCGGGAGCCCGCCCCGCGGCCCGCCCGGCCGCGCCCGTGGCCGCGGCGCCGGGGTTCGCGTGTCCCCGGCGGCGACCCGCGGGACGCCGCGGTGTCGTCCGCCGTCGCGCGCCCGCCTCCGGCTCGCGGCCGCGCCGCGCCGCGCCGGGGCCCCGTCCCGAGCTTCCGCGTCGGGGCGGGGCGGCTCCGCCGCCGCGTCCTCGGACCCGTCCCCCCGACCTCCGCGGGGGAGACGGGTCGGGGCGTGCGGCGCCCGTCCCGCCCCCGGCCCGTGCCCCTCCCTCCGGTCGTCCCGCTCCGGCGGGGCGGCGCGGGGGTGCCCTCGGCCGCGGCTCTCTCTCCCGTCGCCTCTCCCCCTCGCCGGGCCCGTCTCCCGACGGAGCGTCGGGCGGGCGGTCGGGCCGGCGCGATTCCGTCCGTCCGTCCGCCGAGCGGCCCGTCCCCCTCCGAGACGCGACCTCAGATCAGACGTGGCGACCCGCTGAATTTAAGCATATTAGTCAGCGGAGGAAAAGAAACTAACCAGGATTCCCTCAGTAACGGCGAGTGAACAGGGAAGAGCCCAGCGCCGAATCCCCGCCCCGCGGCGGGGCGCGGGACATGTGGCGTACGGAAGACCCGCTCCCCGGCGCCGCTCGTGGGGGGCCCAAGTCCTTCTGATCGAGGCCCAGCCCGTGGACGGTGTGAGGCCGGTAGCGGCCCCCGGCGCGCCGGGCCCGGGTCTTCCCGGAGTCGGGTTGCTTGGGAATGCAGCCCAAAGCGGGTGGTAAACTCCATCTAAGGCTAAATACCGGCACGAGACCGATAGTCAACAAGTACCGTAAGGGAAAGTTGAAAAGAACTTTGAAGAGAGAGTTCAAGAGGGCGTGAAACCGTTAAGAGGTAAACGGGTGGGGTCCGCGCAGTCCGCCCGGAGGATTCAACCCGGCGGCGGGTCCGGCCGTGTCGGCGGCCCGGCGGATCTTTCCCGCCCCCCGTTCCTCCCGACCCCTCCACCCGCCCTCCCTTCCCCCGCCGCCCCTCCTCCTCCTCCCCGGAGGGGGCGGGCTCCGGCGGGTGCGGGGGTGGGCGGGCGGGGCCGGGGGTGGGGTCGGCGGGGGACCGTCCCCCGACCGGCGACCGGCCGCCGCCGGGCGCATTTCCACCGCGGCGGTGCGCCGCGACCGGCTCCGGGACGGCTGGGAAGGCCGGCGGGGAAGGTGGCTCGGGGGGCCCCGTCCGTCCGTCCGTCCGTCCTCCTCCTCCCCGTCTCCGCCCCGGCCCCGCGTCCTCCCTCGGGAGGGCGCGCGGGTCGGGGCGGCGGCGGCGGTGGCGGCGGCGGCGGCGGCGGCGGGACCGAAACCCCCCCCGAGTGTTACAGCCCCCCCGGCAGCAGCACTCGCCGAATCCCGGGGCCGAGGGAGCGAGACCCGTCGCCGCGCTCTCCCCCCTCCCGGCGCCCACCCCCGCGGGGAATCCCCCGCGAGGGGGGTCTCCCCCGCGGGGGCGCGCCGGCGTCTCCTTGTGGGGGGACCGGGCCACCCCTCCCACGGCGAGAAGACTGTCCCACCCATCCTCCCCGCGCCCCCGCCCCGGCGACGGGGGGGGTGCCGCGCGCGGGTCGGGGGGCGGGGCGGACTGTCCCCAGTGCGCCCCGGGCGGGTCGCGCCGTCGGGCCCGGGGGGAGGTTCTCTCGGGGCCACGCGCGCGTCCCCCGAAGAGGGGGACGGCGGAGCGAGCGCACGGGGTCGGCGGCGACGTCGGCTACCCACCCGACCCGTCTTGAAACACGGACCAAGGAGTCTAACACGTGCGCGAGTCGGGGGCTCGCACGAAAGCCGCCGTGGCGCAATGAAGGTGAAGGCCGGCGCGCTCGCCGGCCGAGGTGGGATCCCGAGGCCTCTCCAGTCCGCCGAGGGCGCACCACCGGCCCGTCTCGCCCGCCGCGCCGGGGAGGTGGAGCACGAGCGCACGTGTTAGGACCCGAAAGATGGTGAACTATGCCTGGGCAGGGCGAAGCCAGAGGAAACTCTGGTGGAGGTCCGTAGCGGTCCTGACGTGCAAATCGGTCGTCCGACCTGGGTATAGGGGCGAAAGACTAATCGAACCATCTAGTAGCTGGTTCCCTCCGAAGTTTCCCTCAGGATAGCTGGCGCTCTCGCAGACCCGACGCACCCCCGCCACGCAGTTTTATCCGGTAAAGCGAATGATTAGAGGTCTTGGGGCCGAAACGATCTCAACCTATTCTCAAACTTTAAATGGGTAAGAAGCCCGGCTCGCTGGCGTGGAGCCGGGCGTGGAATGCGAGTGCCTAGTGGGCCACTTTTGGTAAGCAGAACTGGCGCTGCGGGATGAACCGAACGCCGGGTTAAGGCGCCCGATGCCGACGCTCATCAGACCCCAGAAAAGGTGTTGGTTGATATAGACAGCAGGACGGTGGCCATGGAAGTCGGAATCCGCTAAGGAGTGTGTAACAACTCACCTGCCGAATCAACTAGCCCTGAAAATGGATGGCGCTGGAGCGTCGGGCCCATACCCGGCCGTCGCCGGCAGTCGAGAGTGGACGGGAGCGGCGGGGGCGGCGCGCGCGCGCGCGCGTGTGGTGTGCGTCGGAGGGCGGCGGCGGCGGCGGGGGTGTGTGGGGTCCTCCCCCGCCCCCCCCCCACGCCTCCTCCCCTCCTCCCGCCCACGCCCCGCTCCCCGCCCCCGGAGCCCCGCGGACGCTACGCCGCGACGAGTAGGAGGGCCGCTGCGGTGAGCCTTGAAGCCTAGGGCGCGGGCCCGGGTGGAGCCGCCGCAGGTGCAGATCTTGGTGGTAGTAGCAAATATTCAAACGAGAACTTTGAAGGCCGAAGTGGAGAAGGGTTCCATGTGAACAGCAGTTGAACATGGGTCAGTCGGTCCTGAGAGATGGGCGAGCGCCGTTCCGAAGGGACGGGCGATGGCCTCCGTTGCCCTCGGCCGATCGAAAGGGAGTCGGGTTCAGATCCCCGAATCCGGAGTGGCGGAGATGGGCGCCGCGAGGCGTCCAGTGCGGTAACGCGACCGATCCCGGAGAAGCCGGCGGGAGCCCCGGGGAGAGTTCTCTTTTCTTTGTGAAGGGCAGGGCGCCCTGGAATGGGTTCGCCCCGAGAGAGGGGCCCGTGCCTTGGAAAGCGTCGCGGTTCCGGCGGCGTCCGGTGAGCTCTCGCTGGCCCTTGAAAATCCGGGGGAGAGGGTGTAAATCTCGCGCCGGGCCGTACCCATATCCGCAGCAGGTCTCCAAGGTGAACAGCCTCTGGCATGTTGGAACAATGTAGGTAAGGGAAGTCGGCAAGCCGGATCCGTAACTTCGGGATAAGGATTGGCTCTAAGGGCTGGGTCGGTCGGGCTGGGGCGCGAAGCGGGGCTGGGCGCGCGCCGCGGCTGGACGAGGCGCCGCCGCCCCCCCCACGCCCGGGGCACCCCCCTCGCGGCCCTCCCCCGCCCCACCCCGCGCGCGCCGCTCGCTCCCTCCCCGCCCCGCGCCCTCTCTCTCTCTCTCTCCCCCGCTCCCCGTCCTCCCCCCTCCCCGGGGGAGCGCCGCGTGGGGGCGGCGGCGGGGGGAGAAGGGTCGGGGCGGCAGGGGCCGGCGGCGGCCCGCCGCGGGGCCCCGGCGGCGGGGGCACGGTCCCCCGCGAGGGGGGCCCGGGCACCCGGGGGGCCGGCGGCGGCGGCGACTCTGGACGCGAGCCGGGCCCTTCCCGTGGATCGCCCCAGCTGCGGCGGGCGTCGCGGCCGCCCCCGGGGAGCCCGGCGGGCGCCGGCGCGCCCCCCCCCCCACCCCACGTCTCGTCGCGCGCGCGTCCGCTGGGGGCGGGGAGCGGTCGGGCGGCGGCGGTCGGCGGGCGGCGGGGCGGGGCGGTTCGTCCCCCCGCCCTACCCCCCCGGCCCCGTCCGCCCCCCGTTCCCCCCTCCTCCTCGGCGCGCGGCGGCGGCGGCGGCAGGCGGCGGAGGGGCCGCGGGCCGGTCCCCCCCGCCGGGTCCGCCCCCGGGGCCGCGGTTCCGCGCGGCGCCTCGCCTCGGCCGGCGCCTAGCAGCCGACTTAGAACTGGTGCGGACCAGGGGAATCCGACTGTTTAATTAAAACAAAGCATCGCGAAGGCCCGCGGCGGGTGTTGACGCGATGTGATTTCTGCCCAGTGCTCTGAATGTCAAAGTGAAGAAATTCAATGAAGCGCGGGTAAACGGCGGGAGTAACTATGACTCTCTTAAGGTAGCCAAATGCCTCGTCATCTAATTAGTGACGCGCATGAATGGATGAACGAGATTCCCACTGTCCCTACCTACTATCCAGCGAAACCACAGCCAAGGGAACGGGCTTGGCGGAATCAGCGGGGAAAGAAGACCCTGTTGAGCTTGACTCTAGTCTGGCACGGTGAAGAGACATGAGAGGTGTAGAATAAGTGGGAGGCCCCCGGCGCCCCCCCGGTGTCCCCGCGAGGGGCCCGGGGCGGGGTCCGCCGGCCCTGCGGGCCGCCGGTGAAATACCACTACTCTGATCGTTTTTTCACTGACCCGGTGAGGCGGGGGGGCGAGCCCCGAGGGGCTCTCGCTTCTGGCGCCAAGCGCCCGGCCGCGCGCCGGCCGGGCGCGACCCGCTCCGGGGACAGTGCCAGGTGGGGAGTTTGACTGGGGCGGTACACCTGTCAAACGGTAACGCAGGTGTCCTAAGGCGAGCTCAGGGAGGACAGAAACCTCCCGTGGAGCAGAAGGGCAAAAGCTCGCTTGATCTTGATTTTCAGTACGAATACAGACCGTGAAAGCGGGGCCTCACGATCCTTCTGACCTTTTGGGTTTTAAGCAGGAGGTGTCAGAAAAGTTACCACAGGGATAACTGGCTTGTGGCGGCCAAGCGTTCATAGCGACGTCGCTTTTTGATCCTTCGATGTCGGCTCTTCCTATCATTGTGAAGCAGAATTCACCAAGCGTTGGATTGTTCACCCACTAATAGGGAACGTGAGCTGGGTTTAGACCGTCGTGAGACAGGTTAGTTTTACCCTACTGATGATGTGTTGTTGCCATGGTAATCCTGCTCAGTACGAGAGGAACCGCAGGTTCAGACATTTGGTGTATGTGCTTGGCTGAGGAGCCAATGGGGCGAAGCTACCATCTGTGGGATTATGACTGAACGCCTCTAAGTCAGAATCCCGCCCAGGCGGAACGATACGGCAGCGCCGCGGAGCCTCGGTTGGCCTCGGATAGCCGGTCCCCCGCCTGTCCCCGCCGGCGGGCCGCCCCCCCCCTCCACGCGCCCCGCGCGCGCGGGAGGGCGCGTGCCCCGCCGCGCGCCGGGACCGGGGTCCGGTGCGGAGTGCCCTTCGTCCTGGGAAACGGGGCGCGGCCGGAGAGGCGGCCGCCCCCTCGCCCGTCACGCACCGCACGTTCGTGGGGAACCTGGCGCTAAACCATTCGTAGACGACCTGCTTCTGGGTCGGGGTTTCGTACGTAGCAGAGCAGCTCCCTCGCTGCGATCTATTGAAAGTCAGCCCTCGACACAAGGGTTTGTCCGCGCGCGCGCGCGCGCGCGCGTGCGGGGGGCCCGGCGGGGCGTGCGCGTCCGGCGCCGTCCGTCCTTCCGTTCGTCTTCCTCCCTCCCGGCCTCTCCCGCCGACCGCGGGCGTGGTGGTGGGGGTGTGGGGGGGAGGGCGCGCGACCCCGGTCGGCGCGCCCCGCTTCTTCGGTTCCCGCCTCCTCCCCGTTCACCGCCGGGGCGGCTCGTCCGCTCCGGGCCGGGACGGGGTCCGGGGAGCGTGGTTTGGGAGCCGCGGAGGCGGCCGCGCCGAGCCGGGCCCGTGGCCCGCCGGTCCCCGTCCCGGGGGTTGGCCGCGCGGGCCCCGGTGGGGCGGCCACCCGGGGTCCCGGCCCTCGCGCGTCCTTCCTCCTCGCTCCTCCGCACGGGTCGACCAGCAGACCGCGGGTGGTGGGCGGCGGGCGGCGACGCCCTCTCGCTCTCTCTCTGTCTCTGTGTGTGTCTGTCTCTCTCCCTCCCTCCCTCCCTCCCTCCCTCCCTCCCTCCCTCCCTCCCTCCCCTTCCTTGGTGCCTTCTCGGCTCTTGAGACTTAGCCGCTGTCTCGCCGTGCCCCGGGTCGACCGGCGGGCCTTCTCCACCGAGCGGCGTGTAAGAGTGCCCGTCGGGACGAGCCGGACCCGCCGCGTCCCCGTCTCGGTCGGCACCTCCGGGGTCGACCAGCTGCCGCCCGCGAGCTCCGGACTTAGCCGGCGTCTGCACGTGTCCCGGGTCGACCAGCAGGCGGCCGCCGGACGCTGCGGCGCACCGACGCGAGGGCGCTGATTCCCGTTCACGCGCCCGCGACCTCCACCGGCCTCGGCCCGCCGTGGAGCTGGGACCACGCGGAACTCCCTCTCCTACATTTTTTTCAGCCCCACCGCGAGTTTGCGTCCGCGGGACTTTTAAGAGGGAGTCACTGCTGCCGTCAGCCAGTAATGCTTCCTCCTTTTTTGCTTTTAGGTTTTGTCTTGCCTTTTTTTTTTTTTTTTTTTCTTCTTTCTTTCTTTCTTTCTTTCTTTCTTTCTTTCTTTCTTTCTTTCTTTGCCGCTCTCGCTCTCTCGCTCTCTCCCTCTCTCGTTTTCTTTCTCTTTCTCTTTCTCTCTCTCTCTCTCTCTCTCTCTCTGTCTCTCGCTCTCGCCCTCTCTCTCTCTCTCTTTCTCTCTGTCTCTCTCTGTCTCTCTCTCTCTCTCTCTCTCTCTCTCTCTCTCTCTCTCTCTCTCTCTCTCTCCCTCCCCCTCCCTCCCTCTCTCCCCTTCCTTGGTGCCTTCTCGGCTCTTGACACTTAGCCGCTGTCTCGCCGTGTCCCGGGTCGACCGGCGGGCCTTCTCCACCGAGCGGCGTGTAAGAGTGCCCGTCGGGACGAGCCGGACCCGCCGCGTCCCCGTCTCGGTCGGCACCTCCGGGGTCGACCAGCTGCCGCCCGCGAGCTCCGGACTTAGCTGGCGTCTGCACGTGTCCCGGGTCGACCAGCAGGCGGCCGCCGGACGCTGCGGCGCACCGACGCGAGGGCGTCGATTCCGGTTCACGCGCCGGCGACCTCCACCGGCCTCGGCCCGCGGTGGAGCTGGGACCACGCGGAACTCCCTCTTCTACATTTTTTTCAGCCCCACCGCGAGTTTGCGTCCGCGGGACTTTTAAGAGGGAGTCACTGCTGCCGTCAGCCAGTAATGCTTCCTCCTTTTTTGCTTTTAGGTTTTGTCTTGCCTTTTTTTTTTTTTTTTTTTTTTCTTTCTTTCTTTCTTTCTTTCTTTCTTTCTTTCTTTCTTTCTTTCTTTCTCGCTCTCGCTCTCTCGCTCTCTCCCTCGCTCGTTTTCTTTCTCTTTCTCTTTCTCTCTCTCTCTCTCTCTCTCTCTCTGTCTCTCGCTCTCGCCCTCTCTCTCTCTCTCTTTCTCTCTGTCTCTCTCTGTCTCTCTCTCTCTCTCTCTCTCTCTCTCTCTCTCTCTCTCTCTCTCTCTCTCTCCCTCCCCCTCCCTCCCTCTCTCCCCTTCCTTGGTGCCTTCTCGGCTCTTGACACTTAGCCGCTGTCTCGCCGTGTCCCGGGTCGACCGGCGGGCCTTCTCCACCGAGCGGCGTGTAAGAGTGCCCGTCGGGACGAGCCGGACCCGCCGCGTCCCCGTCTCGGTCGGCACCTCCGGGGTCGACCAGCTGCCGCCCGCGAGCTCCGGACTTAGCTGGCGTCTGCACGTGTCCCGGGTCGACCAGCAGGCGGCCGCCGGACGCTGCGGCGCACCGACGCGAGGGCGTCGATTCCGGTTCACGCGCCGGCGACCTCCACCGGCCTCGGCCCGCGGTGGAGCTGGGACCACGCGGAACTCCCTCTTCTACATTTTTTTCAGCCCCACTGCGAGTTTGCGTCCGCGGGACTTTTAAGAGGGAGTCACTGCTGCCGTCAGCCAGTAATGCTTCCTCCTTTTTTGCTTTTTGGTTTTGCCTTGCGTTTTCTTTCTTTCTTTCTTTCTTTCTTTCTTTCTTTCTTTTCTTTCTTTCTTTCTTTCTTTCTTTCTTTCTCTCTCTCTCTCTCTCTCTCTGTCTCTCTCCCCTCCCTCCCTCCTTGGTGCCTTCTCGGCTCGCTGCTGCTGCTGCCTCTGCCTCCACGGTTCAAGCAAACAGCAAGTTTTCTATTTCGAGTAAAGACGTAATTTCACCATTTTGGCCGGGCTGGTCTCGAACTCCCGACCTAGTGATCCGCCCGCCTCGGCCTCCCAAAGACTGCTGGGAGTACAGATGTGAGCCACCATGCCCGGCCGATTCCTTCCTTTTTTCAATCTTATTTTCTGAACGCTGCCGTGTATGAACATACATCTACACATACACACACACACACACACACACACACACACACACACACACACACACACACACACACCCCCCGTAGTGATAAAACTATGTAAATGATATTTCCATAATTAATACGTTTATATTATGTTACTTTTAATGGATGAATATGTATCGAAGCCCCATTTCATTTACATACACGTGTATGTATATCCTTCCTCCCTTCCTTCATTCATTATTTATTAATAATTTTCGTTTATTTATTTTCTTTTCTTTTGGGGCCGGCCCGCCTGGTCTTCTGTCTCTGCGCTCTGGTGACCTCAGCCTCCCAAATAGCTGGGACTACAGGGATCTCTTAAGCCCGGGAGGGAGAGGTTAACGTGGGCTGTGATCGCACACTTCCACTCCAGCTTACGTGGGCTGCGGTGGGGTGGGGTGCAGAGAAAACGATTGATTGCGATCTCAATTGCCTTTTAGCTTCATTCATACCCTGTTATTTGCTCGTTTATTCTCATGGGTTCTTCTGTGTCATTGTCACGTTCATCGTTTGCTTGCCTGCTTGCCTGTTTATTTCCTTCCTTCCTTCCTTCCTTCCTTCCTTCCTTCCTTCCCTCCTTCCTTCCTTCCTTCCCTCCCTTACTGGCAGGGTCTTCCTCTGTCTCTGCCGCCCAGGATCACCCCAACCTCAACGCTTTGGACCGACCAAACGGTCGTTCTGCCTCTGATCCCTCCCATCCCCATTACCTGAGACTACAGGCGCGCACCACCACACCGGCTGACTTTTATGTTGTTTCTCATGTTTTCCGTAGGTAGGTATGTGTGTGTGTGTGTGTGTGTGTGTGTGTGTGTGTGTGTGTGTGTGTGTGTGTATCTATGTATGTACGTATGTATGTATGTATGTGAGTGAGATGGGTTTCGGGGTTCTATCATGTTGCCCACGCTGGTCTCGAACTCCTGTCCTCAAGCAATCCGCCTGCCTGCCTCGGCCGCCCACACTGCTGCTATTACAGGCGTGAGACGCTGCGCCTGGCTCCTTCTACATTTGCCTGCCTGCCTGCCTGCCTGCCTGCCTGCCTGCCTGCCTGCCTGCCTGCCTGCCTATCAATCGTCTTCTTTTTAGTACGGATGTGCTCTCGCTTTATTGTCCATGCTCTGGGCACACGTGGTCTCTTTTCAAACTTCTATGATTATTATTATTGTAGGCGTCATCTCACGTGTCGAGGTGATCTCGAACTTTTAGGCTCCAGAGATCCTCCCGCATCGGCCTCCCGGAGTGCTGTGATGACACGCGTGGGCACGGTACGCTCTGGTCGTGTTTGTCGTGGGTCGGTTCTTTCCGTTTTTAATACGGGGACTGCGAACGAAGAAAATTTCCAGACGCATCTCACCGATCCGCCTTTTCGTTCTTTCTTTTTATTCTCTTTAGACGGAGTTTCACTCTTGTCGCCCAGGGTGGAGTACGATGGCGGCTCTCGGCTCACCGCACCCTCCGCCTCCCAGGTTCAAGTGATTCTCCTGCCTCAGCCTTCCCGAGTAGCTGGAATGACAGAGATGAGCCATCGTGCCCGGCTAATTTTTCTATTTTTACTACAGATGGGGTTTCTCCATCTTGGTCAGGCTGGTCTTCAACTTCCGACCGTTGGAGAATCTTAACTTTCTTGGTGGTGGTTGTTTTCCTTTTTCTTTTTTTTCTTTTCTTTTCTTTCCTTCTCCTCCCCCCCCACCCCCCCTTGTCGTCGTCCTCCTCCTCCTCCTCCTCCTCCTCCTCCTCCTCCTCCTCCTCCTCCTCTTTCATTTCTTTCAGCTGGGCTCTCCTACGTGTGTTGCTCTGTTGCTCACGCTGGTCTCAAACTCCTGGCCTTGACGCTTCTCCCGTCACATCCGCCGTCTGGTTGTTGAAATGAGCATCTCTCGTAAAATGGAAAAGATGAAAGAAATAAACACGAAGACGGAAAGCACGGTGTGAACGTTTCTCTTGCCGTCTCCCGGGGTGTACCTTGGACCCGGAAACACGGAGGGAGCTTGGCTGAGTGGGTTTTCGGTGCCGAAACCTCCCGAGGGCCTCCTTCCCTCTCCCCCTTGTCCCCGCTTCTCCCCCAGCCGAGGCTCCCACCGCCGCCCTGGCATTTTCCATAGGAGAGGTATGGGAGAGGACTGACACGCCTTCCAGATCTATATCCTGCCGGACGTCTCTGGCTCGGCGTGCCCCACCGGCTACCTGCCACCTTCCAGGGAGCTCTGAGGCGGATGCGACCCCCACCCCCCCGTCACGTCCCGCTACCCTCCCCCGGCTGGCCTTTGCCGGGCGACCCCAGGGGAACCGCGTTGATGCTGCCTTCGGATCCTCCGGCGAAGACTTCCACCGGATGCCCCGGGTGGGCCGGTTGGGATCAGACTGGACCACCCCGGACCGTGCTGTTCTTGGGGGTGGGTTGACGTACAGGGTGGACTGGCAGCCCCAGCATTGTAAAGGGTGCGTGGGTATGGAAATGTCACCTAGGATGCCCTCCTTCCCTTCGGTCTGCCTTCAGCTGCCTCAGGCGTGAAGACAACTTCCCATCGGAACCTCTTCTCTTCCCTTTCTCCAGCACACAGATGAGACGCACGAGAGGGAGAAACAGCTCAATAGATACCGCTGACCTTCATTTGTGGAATCCTCAGTCATCGACACACAAGACAGGTGACTAGGCAGGGACACAGATCAAACACTATTTCCGGGTCCTCGTGGTGGGATTGGTCTCTCTCTCTCTCTCTCTCTCTCTCTCTCTCTCTCTCTCTCTCGCACGCGCACGCGCGCACACACACACACAATTTCCATATCTAGTTCACAGAGCACACTCACTTCCCCTTTTCACAGTACGCAGGCTGAGTAAAACCCGCCCCACCCTCCACCCGTTGGCTGACGAAACCCCTTCTCTACAATTGATGAAAAAGATGATCTGGGCCGGGCACGCTAGCTCACGCCTGTCACTCCGGCACTTTGGGAGGCCGAGGCGGGTGGATCGCTTGGGGCCGGGAGTTCGAGACCAGGCTGGCCGACGTGGCGAAACCCCGTCTCTCTGAAAAATAGAACGATTAGCCGGGCCTGGTGGCGTGGGCTTGGAATCACGACCGCTCGGGAGACTGGGGCGGGCGACTTGTTCCAACCGGGGAGGCCGAGGTTGCGATGAGCTGAGATCGTGCCGTGGCGATGCGGCCTGGATGACGGAGCGAGACCCCGTGTCGAGAGAATCATGATGTTATTATAAGATGAGTTGTGCGCGGTGATGGCCGCCTGTAGTCGCGGCTACTCGGGAGGCTGAGACGAGGAGAAGATCACTTGAGGCCCCACAGGTCGAGGCTTCGGTCGGCCGTGACCCACTGTATCCTGGGCAGTCACCGGTCAAGGAGATATGCCCCTTCCCCGTTTGCTTTTCTTTTCTTCCCTTCTCTTTTCTTCTTTTTGCTTCTCTTTTCTTTCTTTCTTTCTTTCTTTCTTTCTTTCTTTCTTTCTTTTTCTTTTTCTCTCTTCCCCTCTTTCTTTCCTGCCTTCCTGCCTTTCTTCTTTTCTTCTTTCCTCCCTTCCTCCCTTCCTTCTTTCCTCCCGCCTCAGCCTCCCAAAGTGCTGGGATGACTGGCGGGAGGCACCATGCCTGCTTGGCCCAAAGAGACCCTCTTGGAAAGTGAGACGCAGAGAGCGCCTTCCAGTGATCTCATTGACTGATTTAGAGACGGCATCTCGCTCCGTCACCCCGGCAGTGGTGCCGTCGTAACTCACTCCCTGCAGCGTGGACGCTCCTGGACTCGAGCGATCCTTCCACCTCAGCCTCCAGAGTACAGAGCCTGGGACCGCGGGCACGCGCCACTGTGCCCACACCGTTTTTAATTGTTTTTTTTTCCCCCGAGACAGAGTTTCACTCTCGTGGCCTAGACTGCAGTGCGGTGGCGCGATCTTGGCTCACCGCAACCTCTGCCTCCCGGTTTCAAGCGATTCTCCTGCATCGGCCTCCTGAGTAGCCGGGATTGCGGGCATGCGCTGCCACGTCTGGCTGATTTCGTATTTTTAGTGGAGACGGGGCTTCTCCATGTCGATCGGGCTGGTTTCGAACTCCCGACCTCAGGTGATCCGCCCTCCCCGGCCTCCGGAAGTGCTGGGATGACAGGCGTGAGCCACCGCGCCCGGCCTTCATTTTTAAATGTTTTCCCACAGACGGGGTCTCATCATTTCTTTGCAACCCTCCTGCCCGGCGTCTCAAAGTGCTGGCGTGACGGGCGTGAGCCACTGCGCCTGGACTCCGGGGAATGACTCACGACCACCATCGCTCTACTGATCCTTTCTTTCTTTCTTTCTTTCTTTCTTTCTTTCTTTCTTTCTTTCTTTCTTTCTTTCTTTCTTGATGAATTATCTTATGATTTATTTGTGTACTTATTTTCAGACGGAGTCTCGCTCTGGGCGGGGCGAGGCGAGGCGAGGCACAGCGCATCGCTTTGGAAGCCGCGGCAACGCCTTTCAAAGCCCCATTCGTATGCACAGAGCCTTATTCCCTTCCTGGAGTTGGAGCTGATGCCTTCCGTAGCCTTGGGCTTCTCTCCATTCGGAAGCTTTGACAGGCGCAACCCCACCCAGAGGCTGGCTGCGGCTGAGGATTAGGGGGTGTGTTGGGGCTGAAAACTGGGTCCCCTATTTTTGATACCTCAGCCGACACATCCCCCGACCGCCATCGCTTGCTCGCCCTCTGAGATCCCCCGCCTCCACCGCCTTGCAGGCTCACCTCTTACTTTCATTTCTTCCTTTCTTGCGTTTGAGGAGGGGGTGCGGGAATGAGGGTGTGTGTGGGGAGGGGGTGCGGGGTGGGGACGGAGGGGAGCGTCCTAAGGGTCGATTTAGTGTCATGCCTCTTTCACCACCACCACCACCACCGAAGATGACAGCAAGGATCGGCTAAATACCGCGTGTTCTCATCTAGAAGTGGGAACTTACAGATGACAGTTCTTGCATGGGCAGAACGAGGGGGACCGGGGACGCGGAAGCCTGCTTGAGGGAGGAGGGGTGGAAGGAGAGACAGCTTCAGGAAGAAAACAAAACACGAATACTGTCGGACACAGCACTGACTACCCGGGTGATGAAATCATCTGCACACTGAACACCCCCGTCACAAGTTTACCTATGTCACAGTCTTGCACATGTATGCTTGAACGACAAATAAAAGTTAGGGGGGAGAAGAGAGGAGAGAGAGAGAGAGAGAGAGACAGAGAGAGACAGAGAGAGAGAGAGAGGAGGGAGAGAGAAAACGAAACACCACCTCCTTGACCTGAGTCAGGGGGTTTCTGGCCTTTTGGGAGAACGTTCAGCGACAATGCAGTATTTGGGCCCGTTCTTTTTTTTTCTTCTTCTTTTCTTTCTTTTTTTTTGGACTGAGTCTCTCTCGCTCTGTCACCCAGGCTGCGGTGCGGTGGCGCTCTCTCGGCTCACTGAAACCTCTGCTTCCCGGGTTCCAGTGATTCTTCTTCGGTAGCTGGGATTACAGGCGCACACCATGACGGCCGGCTCATATTCCTATTTTCAGTAGAGACGGGGTTTCTCCACGTTGGCCACGCTGGTCTCGAACTCCTGACCTCAAATGATCCGCCTTCCTGGGCCTCCCAAAGTGCTGGAAACGACAGGCCTGAGCCGCCGGGATTTCAGCCTTTAAAAGCGCGGGCCCTGCCACCTTTCGCTGTGGCCCTTACGCTCAGAATGACGTGTCCTCTCTGCCGTAGGTTGACTCCTTGAGTCCCCTAGGCCATTGCACTGTAGCCTGGGCAGCAAGAGCCAAACTCCGTCCCCCCACCTCCCCGCGCACATAATAACTAACTAACAAACTAACTAACTAACTAAACTAACTAAATAAATAAAATCTCTACACGTCACCTCTAAGTGTGTGTTCCCGTGAGGAGTGATTTCTAAGAAATGGCACTGTACACTGAACGCAGTGGCTCACGTCTGTCATCCCGAGGTCAGGAGTTCGAGACCAGCCCGGCCAACGTGGTGAAACCCCCGTCTCTACTGAAAATACGAAATGGAGTCAGGCGCCGTGGGGCAGGCACCTGTAACCCCAGCTACTCGGGAGGCTGGGGTGGAAGAATTGCTTGAACCTGGCAGGCGGAGGCTGCAGTGACCCAAGATCGCACCACTGCACTACAGCCTGGGCGACAGAGTGAGACCCGGTCTCCAGATAAATACGTACATAAATAAATACACACATACATACATACATACATACATACATACATACATACATACATCCATGCATACAGATATACAAGAAAGAAAAAAAGAAAAGAAAAGAAAGAGAAAATGAAAGAAAAGGCACTGTATTGCTACTGGGCTAGGGCCTTCTCTCTGTCTGTTTCTCTCTGTTCGTCTCTGTCTTTCTCTCTGTGTCTCTTTCTCTGTCTGTCTGTCTCTTTCTTTCTCTCTGTCTCTGTCTCTGTCTTTGTCTCTCTCTCTCCCTCTCTGCCTGTCTCACTGTGTCTGTCTTCTGTCTTACTCTCTTTCTCTCCCCGTCTGTCTCTCTCTCTCTCTCTCCCTCCCTGTTTGTTTCTCTCTCTCCCTCCCTGTCTGTTTCTCTCTCTCTCTTTCTGTCTGTTTCTGTCTCTCTCTGTCTGTCTATGTCTTTCTCTGTCTGTCTCTTTCTCTGTCTGTCTGCCTCTCTCTTTCTTTTTCTGTGTCTCTCTGTCGGTCTCTCTCTCTCTGTCTGTCTGTCTGTCTCTCTCTCTCTCTCTCTGTGCCTATCTTCTGTCTTACTCTCTTTCTCTGCCTGTCTGTCTGTCTCTCCCTCCCTTTCTGTTTCTCTCTCTCTCTCTCTCTCTCTCCCCCTCTCCCTGTCTGTTTCTCTCCGTCTCTCTCTCTTTCTGTCTGTTTCTCACTGTCTCTCTCTCTCCCTCTCTCGCTCTCTCTGTCTTTCTCTCTTTCTCTCTGTTTCTCTGTCTCTCTCTGTCCGTCTCTGTCTTTTTCTGTCTGTCTCTCTCTTTCTTTCTGTCTGTCTCTGTCTCTGTCTCTCTCTCTCTCTCTGCTTGTCTCTCTCACTGTGTCTGTCCTCTGTCTTACTCTCCTTCTCTGCCTGTCCGTCTGTCTGTCTGTCTCTCTCTCTCTCCCTCCCTTTCTGTTTCTCTCTCGCTCTCTCTCTCTCTCTCTCTCTCTCTCTCTGCCTGTTTCTCTTTCTCTCTCTGTCTGTCTCTGTCTTTCTCTGTCTGTCTCTTTCTCTGTCTGTCTGTCTCCTTCTCTCTGTCTCCGTCTCTGTCTCTCTCTCTCTGTCTCTCTCTCTCTGCCTGTCTCACTGTGTCTGTCTTCTGTCTTATTCTCTTTCTCTGTCTGTCTGTCTCTCTCTCTCCCTTCCTGTCTCTTTCTCTCTCTCTCTCTCTTTCTGTCTGTTTCTCTCTGCCTGTCTCCGTCTTTCTCTGTCTGCCTCTCTCTTTCTTTTTCTGCGTCTCTCTGTCTCTCTCTCTCTGTGCCTATCTTCTGTCTTACTCTGTTTCTCTGCCTGCCTGTCTGTCTGTCTGTCTCTCTCTCTCTCTGTCTCTCTCTCTTTCTGTCTGTTTCTCTCTGTCTCTCTGTCCATCTCGGTCTTTCTCTGTCCGTCTCTCTCTTTCTCCCGGTCTCTGTCTCTGCCTCTGCCTCTCTCTCTCTCGGTCTCTCTCTTTCTATCGGTTTCTCTCGGTCTCTCGGTCCATCTCGGTCTTTCTCGGTCGGTCTCTCTCTTTCTCCCGGTCTCGGTCTCGGCCTCTCTCTCTCTCTCTCGTCGTCTTTCAGGACTGTGTGTGTGTCTCTGTCTCTGCCTCTCTCTCTCTCTCTCTCTCTGTCTGTCTCTCTCACTGTGTGTGTCTGTCTTCTGTCTTACTCTCCTTCTCTGCCTGTCCGTCTGTCTGTCTGTCTCTCCCTCTCTCTCCCTCCCTTTCTGTTTCTCTCTCTCTCTCTCTCTCTTTCTGTCTGTTTCTCTCTTTCTCTCTCTGTCTGTCTCTTTCTCTGTCTGTCTGTCTCTCTCTTTCTTTTTCTCTGTCTCTCTGTCTCTCTCTGTGCCTGTCTCTCTGTCTGTGCCTATCTTCTGTCTTACTCTCTTTCTCTGGCTGACTGCCTGTCTCTCTCTCTCTCTCTCTCTCTCTCTCTCTCTGCCTGTCTCCGTCCCTCCCTCCCTGTCTGTCTGTTTCTCTCTCTGTCCATTTCTGTCTGTCTCTTTCTCTTTCTCTCTCTTTCTTTCTCTCTGTCTCTCTCTGTCTCTCTCTGTCTCTCTCTCTCTCTCTCTCTCTCTCTCTCTCTCTCTCTCTCTCTGCCTTTCTCTCTCACTGTGTCGGTCTTCTGTCTTACTCTCTTTCTCTGCCTGCCTCTCTGTCTGTCTGTCTGTCTCTCTCCCTCCATGTCTCTCTCTCTCTCTCTCTCACTCACTGTCTCTCCGTCTCTCTCTCTTTCTGTCTGTTTCTCTCTGTCTCTGTCTTTCTGTGTGTCTGTCTGTCTCTCTCTCTATTTGTCTTTCTCCCTCCCTGTCTGTTTCTCTCTCTCTCTCTCTCTCTCTCTCTCTCCCTGTCTGTCTGTTTCTCTCTATCTCTCGCTGTCCATCTCTGTCTTTCTATGTCTGTCTCTTTCTCTGTCAGTCTGTCAGACACCCCCGTGCCGGGTAGGGCCCTGCCCCTTCCACGAAAGTGAGAAGCGCGTGCTTCGGTGCTTAGAGAGGCCGAGAGGAATCTAGACAGGCGGGCCTTGCTGGGCTTCCCCACTCGGTGTATGATTTCGGGAGGTCGAGGCCGGGTCCCCGCTTGGATGCGAGGGGCATTTTCAGACTTTTCTCTCGGTCACGTGTGGCGTCCGTACTTCTCCTATTTCCCCGATAAGCTCCTCGACTTCAACATAAACGGCGTCCTAAGGGTCGATTTAGTGTCATGCCTCTTTCACCGCCACCACCGAAGATGAAAGCAAAGATCGGCTAAATACCGCGTGTTCTCATCTAGAAGTGGGAACTTACAGATGACAGTTCTTGCATGGGCAGAACGAGGGGGACCGGGGACGCGGAAGCCTGCTTGAGGGAGGAGGGGTGGAAGGAGAGACAGCTTCAGGAAGAAAACAAAACACGAATACTGTCGGACACAGCACTGACTACCCGGGTGATGAAATCATCTGCACACTGAACACCCCCGTCACAAGTTTACCTATGTCACAGTCTTGCTCATGTATGCTTGAACGACAAATAAAAGTTCGGGGGGGAGAAGAGAGGAGAGAGAGAGAGAGACGGGGAGAGAGGGGGGAGAGGGGGGGGGAGAGAGAGAGAGAGAGAGAGAGAGAGAGAGAGAGAGAGAGAGAGAGAAAGAGAAGTAAAACCAACCACCACCTCCTTGACCTGAGTCAGGGGGTTTCTGGCCTTTTGGGAGAACGTTCAGCGACAATGCAGTATTTGGGCCCGTTCTTTTTTTCTTCTTCTTCTTTTCTTTCTTTTTTTTTGGACTGAGTCTCTCTCGCTCTGTCACCCAGGCTGCGGTGCGGTGGCGCTCTCTCGGCTCACTGAAACCTCTGCTTCCCGGGTTCCAGTGATTCTTCTTCGGTAGCTGGGATTACAGGTGCGCACCATGACGGCCGGCTCATCGTTCTATTTTTAGTAGAGACGGGGTTTCTCCACGTTGGCCACGCTGGTCTCGAACTCCTGACCACAAATGATCCACCTTCCTGGGCCTCCCAAAGTGCTGGAAACGACAGGCCTGAGCCGCCGGGATTTCAGCCTTTAAAAGCGCGGGCCCTGCCACCTTTCGCTGCGGCCCTTACGCTCAGAATGACGTGTCCTCTCTGCCATAGGTTGACTCCTTGAGTCCCCTAGGCCATTGCACTGTAGCCTGGGCAGCAAGAGCCAAACTCCGTCCCCCCACCTCCCCGCGCACATAATAACTAACTAACTAACTAACTAACTAAAATCTCTACACGTCACCCATAAGTGTGTGTTCCCGTGAGGAGTGATTTCTAAGAAATGGTACTGTACACTGAACGCAGTGGCTCACGTCTGTCATCCCGAGGTCAGGAGTTCGAGACCAGCCCGGCCAACGTGGTGAAACCCCCGTCTCTACTGAAAATACGAAATGGAGTCAGGCGCCGTGGGGCAGGCACCTGTAACCCCAGCTACTCGGGAGGCTGGGGTGGAAGAATTGCTTGAACCTGGCAGGCGGAGGCTGCAGTGACCCAAGATCGCACCACTGCACTACAGCCTGGGCGACAGAGTGAGACCCGGTCTCCAGATAAATACGTACATAAATAAATACACACATACATACATACATACATACATACATACATACATACATACAGATATACAAGAAAGAAAAAAAGAAAAGAAAAGAAAGAGAAAATGAAAGAAAAGGCACTGTATTGCTACTGGGCTAGGGCCTTCTCTCTGTCTGTTTCTCTCTGTTCGTCTCTGTCTTTCTCTCTGTGTCTCTTTCTCTGTCTGTCTGTCTGTCTGTCTGTCTCTTTCTTTCTTTCTGTCTCTGTCTTTGTCCCTCTCTCTCCCTCTCTGCCTGTCTCACTGTGTCTGTCTTCTATCTTACTCTCTTTCTCTCCCCGTCTGTCTCTCTCTCACTCCCTCCCTGTCTGTTTCTCTCTCTCTCTCTTTCTGTCTGTTTCTGTCTCTCTCTGTCTGCCTCTCTCTTTCTCTATCTGTCTCTTTCTCTGTCTGTCTGCCCCTCTCTTTCTTTTTCTGTGTCTCTCTGTCTGTCTCTCTCTCTCTCTGTGCCTATCTTCTGTCTTACTCTCTTTCTCTGCCTGTCTGTCTGTCTCTCTCTGTCTCTCCCTCCCTTTCTGCTTCTCTCTCTCTCTCTCTCTCTCCCCCCTCCCTGTCTGTTTCTCTCTGTCTCCCTCTCTTTCTGTCTGTTTCTCACTGTCTCTCTCTGTCTGTCTGTTTCATTCTCTCTGTCTCTGTCTCTGTCTCTCTCTCTCTCTGTCTCTCCCTCTCTGTGTGTATCTTTTGTCTTACTCTCCTTCTCTGCCTGTCCGTCTGTCTGTCTGTCTCTCTCTCTCCCTGTCCCTCTCTCTTTCTGTCTGTTTCTCTCTCTCTCTCTCTCTCTCTCTCTCTGTCTCTGTCTTTCTCTGTCTGTCCCTTTCTCTGTCTGTCTGCCTCTCTCTTTCTCTTTCTGTGTCTCTCTGTCTCTCTCTCTGTGCCTATCTTCTGTCTTACTCTCTTTCTCTGCCTGTCTATCTGTCTGTCTCTCTCTGTCTCTCTCCCTGCCTTTCTGTTTCTCTCTCTCTCCCTCTCTCGCTCTCTCTGTCTTTCTCTCTTTCTCTCTGTTTCTCTGTCTCTCTCTGTCCGTCTCTGTCTTTTTCTGTCTGTCTGTCTCTCTCTTTCTTTCTGTCGTCTGTCTCTGTCTCTGTCTCTGTCTCTCTCTCTCTCTCTCTCCTTGTCTCTCTCACTGTGTCTGTCTTCTGTCTTACTCTCCTTCTCTGCCTGTCCATCTGTCTGTCTGTCTCTCTCTCTCTCTCCCTACCTTTCTGTTTCTCTCTCGCTAGCTCTCTCTCTCTCTGCCTGTTTCTCTCTTTCTCTCTCTGTCTTTCTCTGTCTGTCTCTTTCTCTGTCTGTCTGTCTCTTTCTCTCTGTCTCTGTCTCTGTCTCTCTCTCTCTCTCTCTCTCTCTGCCTCTCTCACTGTGTCTGTCTTCTGTCTTATTCTCTTTCTCTCTCTGTCTCTCTCTCTCTCTCCTTTCCTGTCTGTTTTTCTCTCTCTCTCTCTCTTTCTGCCTGTTTCTCTCTGTCTGTCTCTGTCTTTCTCTGTCTGTCTGCCTCTCTCTTTCTTTTTCTGCGTCTCTCTGTCTCTCTCTCTCTCTCTCTGTTCCTATCTTCTGTCTTACTCTGTTTCCTTGCCTGCCTGCCTGTCTGTGTGTCTGTCTCTCTCTCTCTCTCTCTCTCTCTCTCTCCCTCCCTTTCTCTTTCTCTGTCTCTCTCTCTCTTTCTGGGTGTTTCTCTCTGTCTCTCTGTCCATCTCTGTCTTTCTATGTCTGTCTCTCTCTTTCTCTCTGTCTCTGTCTCTGCCTCTCTCTCTCTCTCTCTCTCTCTCTCTCTCTCTCTCTGTCTGTCTCTCTCACTGTGTGTGTCTGTCTTCTGTCTTACTCTCCTTCTCTGCCTGTCCGTCTGTCTGTCTGTCTCTCCCTCTCTCTCCCTCCCTTTCTGTTTCTCTCTCTCTCCTGTCTGTCTGTTTCTCTCTCTGCCTCTCTCTCTCTCTGTCTGTCTCTTTCTCTGTCTGTCTGTCTCTCTCTTTCTTTTTCTCTGTCTCTCTGTCTCTCTCTGTGTCTGTCTCTCTTTCTGTGCCTATCTTCTGTCTTACTCTCTTTCTCTGGCTGTCTGCCTGTCTCTCTCTCTCTGCCTGTCTCCGTCCCTCCCTCCCTGTCTGTCTGTTTCTCTCTCTGTCTCTGTCTCTCTGTCCATCTCTGTCTGTCTCTTTCTCTTTCTCTCTCTCTGTCTCTGTCTCTCTCTCTCTCTGCCTGTCTCTCTCACTGTGTCTGTCTTCTGTCTTACTCTCTTTCTCTGCCTGCCTCTCTGTCTGTCTGTCTCTCTCCCTCCATGTCTCTCTCTCTCTCTCACTCACTCTCTCTCCGTCTCTCTCTCTTTCTGTCTGTTTCTCTCTCTGTCTGTCTCTCTCCCTCCATGTCTCTCTCTCTCTCTCTCACTCACTCTCTCTCCGTCTCTCTCTCTCTTTCTGTCTGTTTCTCTCTCTGTCTGTCTCTCTCCCTCCATGTCTCTCTCTCTCCCTCTCACTCACTCTCTCTCCGTCTCTCTCTCTCTTTCTGTCTGTTTCTCTGTCTGTCTGTCTGTCTGTCTGTCTCTCTCTCTCTCTCTCTCTCTCTCTGTTTGTCTTTCTCCCTCCCTGTCTGTCTGTCTGTCTCTCTCTCTCTGTCTCTGTCTCTGTCTCTCTCTCTTTCTCTTTCTGTCTGTTTCTCTCTATCTCTCGCTGTCCATCTCTGTCTTTCTATGTCTGTCTCTTTCTCTGTCAGTCTGTCAGACACCCCCGTGCCGGGTAGGGCCCTGCCCCTTCCACGAGAGTGAGAAGCGCGTGCTTCGGTGCTTAGAGAGGCCGAGAGGAATCTAGACAGGCGGGCCTTGCTGGGCTTCCCCACTCGGTGTACGATTTCGGGAGGTCGAGGCCGGGTCCCCGCTTGGATGCGAGGGGCATTTTCAGACTTTTCTCTCGGTCACGTGTGGCGTCCGTACTTCTCCTATTTCCCCGATAAGCTCCTCGACTTCAACATAAACTGTTAAGGCCGGACGCAACACGGCGAAACCCCGTCTCTACTAAAAATACAAAGCTGAGTCGGGAGCGGTGGGGCAGGCCCCTGTAATGCCAGCTCCTCGGGAGGCTGAGGCGGGAGAATCGCTTGAACCAGGGAAGCGGAGGCTGCAGGGAGCCGAGATCGCGCCACTGCACTACGGCCCAGGCTGTAGAGTGAGTGAGACTCGGTCTCTAAATAAATACGGAAATTAATTAATTCATTAATTCTTTTCCCTGCTGACGGACATTTGCAGGCAGGCATCGGTTGTCTTCGGGCATCACCTAGCGGCCACTGTTATTGAAAGTCGACGTGACACGGAGGGAGGTCTCGCCGACTTCACCGAGCCTGGGGCAACGGGTTTCTCTCTCTCCCTTCTGGAGGCCCCTCCCTCTCTCCCTCGTTGCCTAGGGAACCTCGCCTAGGGAACCTCCGCCCTGGCGGGGGCCCTATTGTTCTTTGATCGGCGCTTTACTTTTCTTTGTGTTTTGGCGCCTAGACTCTTCTACTTGGGCTTTGGGAAGGGTCAGTTTAATTTTCAAGTTGCCCCCCGGCTCCCCCCACTACCCACGTCCCTTCACCTTAATTTAGTGAGTCGGTTAGGTGGGTTTCCCCCAAACCGCCCCCCCCCCCCCCGCCTCCCAACACCCTGCTTGGAAACCTTCCAGAGCCACCCCGGTGTGCCTCCGTCTTCTCTCCCCTTCCCCCACCCCTTGCCGGCGATCTCATTCTTGCCAGGCTGACATTTGCATCGGTGGGCGTCAGGCCTCACTCGGGGGCCACCGTTTTTGAAGATGGGGGCGGCACGGTCCCACTTCCCCGGAGGCAGCTTGGGCCGATGGCATAGCCCCTTGACCCGCGTGGGCAAGCGGGCGGGTCTGCAGTTGTGAGGCTTTTCCCCCCGCTGCTTCCCGCCTCAGGCCTCCCTCCCTAGGAAAGCTTCACCCTGGCTGGGTCTCGGTCACCTTTTATCACGATGTTTTAGTTTCTCCGCCCTCCGGCCAGCAGAGTTTCACAATGCGAAGGGCGCCACGGCTCTAGTCTGGGCCTTCTCAGTACTTGCCCAAAATAGAAACGCTTTCTGAAAACTAATAACTTTGCTCACTTAAGATTTCCAGGGACGGCGCCTTGGCCCGTGTTTGTTGGCTTGTTTTGTTTCGTTCTGTTTTGTTTTGTTCGTGTTTTTCCTTTCTCGTATGTCTTTCTTTTCAGGTGAAGTAGAAATCCCCAGTTTTCAGGAAGACGTCTATTTTCCCCAAGACACGTTAGCTGCCGTTTTTTCCTGTTGTGAACTAGCGCTTTTGTGACTCTCTCAACGTGCAGTGAGAGCCGGTTGATGTTTACTATCCTTCATCATGACATCTTATTTTCTAGAAATCCGTAGGCGAATGCTGCTGCTGCTCTTGTTGCTGTTGTTGTTGTTGTTGTTGTCGTCGTTGCTGTTGTCGTTGTCGTTGTTGTTGTCGTTGTCGTTGTTTTCAAAGTATACCCCGGCCACCGTTTATGGGATCAAAAGCATTATAAAATATGTGTGATTATTTCTTGAGCACGCCCTTCCTCCCCCTCTCTCTGTCTCTCTGTCTGTCTCTGTCTCTCTCTTTCTCTGTCTGTCTTCTCTCTCTCTCTCTCTCTGTGTCTCTCTCTCTCTGCCTGTCTGTTTCTCTCTCTCTGCCTCTCTCTCTCTCTCTCTCTCTGCCTGTCTCTCTCACTGTGTCTGTCTTCTGTCTTACTCCCTTTCTCTGTCTGTCTGTCGGTCTCTCTCTCTCTCTCTCCCTGTCTGTATGTTTCTCTCTGTCTCTGTCTCTCTCTCTCTTTCTGTTTCTCTCTCTCCGTCTCTGTCTTTCTCTGACTGTCTCTCTCTTTCCTTCTCTCTGTCTCTCTCTGCCTGTCTCTCTCACTCTGTCTTCTGTCTTACTCTCTCTCTCTGCCTGCCTGTCTCTCTCACTCTCTCTCTCTGTGTGTCTCTCTCTCTCTTTCTGTTTCTCTCTGTCTCTCTGTCCGTCTCTGTCTTTCTCTGTCTGTCTCTTTGTCTGTCTGTCTTTGTCTTTCCTTCTCTCTGTCTCTGTCTCTCTCACTGTGTCTGTCTTCTGTCTTAGTCTCTCTCTCTCTCTCTCCCTGTCTGTCTGTCTCTCTCTCTCTCTCCCCCTGTCTGTTTCTCTCTCTCTCTCTCTCTCTGTCTTTGTCTTTCTTTCTGTCTCTGTCTCTCTCTCTCTCTCTGTGTGTCTGTCTTCTGTCTTACTGTCTTTCTCTGCCTGTCTGTCTGTCTGTCTCTCTCTGTCTGTCTCTCTCTCTCTCTCCCCCCTGTCGGCTGTTTCTCTGTCTCTGTCTGTGTCTCTCTTTCTGTCTGTTTCTCTCTGTCTGTCTTTCTCTCTCTGTCTCTTTCTCTCTGTCTCTCTGTCTGTCTCTGTCTCTCTCTCTGTCTCTCTCTCTCTGTGGGGGTGTGTGTGTGTGTGTGTATGTGTGTGTGTGTGTGTGTGTGTGTCTGCCTTCTGTCTTACTCTCTTTCTCTGCCTGTCTGTCTGCCTGTCTGTTTGTCTCTCTCTCTCTGCCTGTCTCTCTCCCTTCCTGTCTGTTTCTCTCTCTTTCTGTTTCTCTCTGTCTCTGTCCATCTCTGTCTTTCTCCGTCTGTCTCTTTATCTGTCTCTCTCCGTCTGTCTCTTTATCTGTCTCTCTCTCTCTTTCTGTCTTTCTCTCTCTGTGTATCGTTGTCTCTCTCTGTCTGTCTCTGTCTCTGTCTCTCTGTCTCTCTCTCTCTCTCTCTCTCTCTGTCTGTCTGTCCGTCTGTCTGTCTCGGTCTCTGGCTCTCGCTATCCCCCGCCCTCTCTTTTTTTGCAAAAGAAGCTCAAGTACATCTAATCTAATCCCTTACCAAGGCCTGAATTCTTCACTTCTGACATCCCAGATTTGATCTCCCTACAGAATGCTGTACAGAACTGGCGAGTTGATTTCTGGACTTGGATACCTCATAGAAACTACATATGAATAAAGATCCAATCCTAAAATCTGGGGTGGCTTCTCCCTCGACTGTCTCGAAAAATCGTACCTCTGTTCCCCTAGGATGCCGGAAGAGTTTTCTCAATGTGCATCTGCCCGTGTCCTAAGTGATCTGTGACCGAGCCCTGTCCGTCCTGTCTCAAATATGTACGTGCAAACACTTCTCTCCATTTCCACAACTACCCACGGCCCCTTGTGGAACCACTGGCTCTTTGAAAAAAATCCCAGAAGTGGTTTTGGCTTTTTGGCTAGGAGGCCTAAGCCTGCTGAGAACTTTCCTGCCCAGGATCCTGTGTGACCAAAAGTGCCTCTGCTGGGAGCTGGGATCCTCGGGACCATGCTTGCTAGCGCTGGATGAGTCTCTGGAAGGACGCACGGGACTCCGCAAAGCTGACCTGTCCCACCGAGGTCAAATGGATACCTCTGCATTGGCCCGAGGCCTCCGAAGTACATCACCGTCACCAACCGTCACCGTCAGCATCCTTGTGAGCCTGCCCAAGGCCCCGCCTCCGGGGAGACTCTTGGGAGCCCGGCCTTCGTCGGCTAAAGTCCAAAGGGATGGTGACTTCCACCCACAAGGTCCCCACTGAACGGCGAAGATGTGGAGCGTAGGTCAGAGAGGGGACCAGGAGGGGAGACGTCCCGACAGGCGACGAGTTCCCAAGGCTCTGGCCACCCCACCCACGCCCCACGCCCCACGTCCCGGGCACCCGCGGGACACCGCCGCTTTATCCCCTCCTCTGTCCACAGCCGGCCCCACCCCACCACGCAACCCACGCACACACGCTGGAGGTTCCAAAACCACACGGTGTGACTAGAGCCTGACGGAGCGAGAGCCCATTTCACGAGGTGGGAGGGGTGGGGGTGGGGTGGGTTGGGGGTTGTGGGGTCTGTGGCGAGCCCGATTCTCCCTCTTGGGTGGCTACAGGCTAGAAATGAATATCGCTTCTTGGGCGGAGGGGCTTCCTTAGGCCATCACCGCTTGCGGGACTACCTCTCAAACCCTCCCTTGAGGCCACAAAATAGATTCCACCCCACCCATCGACGTTTCCCCCGGGTGCTGGATGTATCCTGTCAAGAGACCTGAGCCTGACACCGTCGAATTAAACACCTTGACTGGCTTTGTGTGTTTGTTTGTTTCTGAGATGGAGTCTTGCTCTGTCCCCCAGGCTGGAGTGCAGTGGCGTGATTTCAGCTCACTGGAACCTTTGCCTCCTGGGTTCAAGTGATTTTCCTGTTTCAGCGCCACCATGGCCGGCTCATTTTTTTTTTTTTTTTTTTTTTTTTTTTTTTTTTTTTTTTTTTGGTAGACACGGGGTTTCACCCTCTTTCATTGGTTTTCACTGGAGATTCTAGATTCGAGCCACACCTCATTCCGTGCCACAGAGAGACTTCTTTTTTTTTTTTTTTTTAAGCGCAACGCAACATGTCTGCCTTATTTGAGTGGCTTCCTATATCATTATAATTGTGTTATAGATGAAGAAACGGTATTAAACACTGTGCTAATGATAGTGAAAGTGAAGACAAAAGAAAGGCTATCTATTTTGTGGTTAGAATAAAGTTGCTCAGTATTTAGAGCTACCTAAATACGTCAGCATTTACACTCTTCCTAGTAAAAGCTGGCCAATCTGAATAATCCTCCTTTAAACAAACACAATTTTTGATAGGGTTAAGATTTTTTTAAGAATGCGACTCCTGCAAAATAGCTGAACAGACGATACACATTTAAAAAAATAACAACACAAGGATCAACCAGACTTGGGAAAAAATCGAAAACCACACAAGTCTTATGAAGAACTGAGTTCTTAAAATAGGACGGAGAACGTAGCTATCGGAAGAGAAGGCAGTATTGGCAAGTTGATTGTTACGTTGGTCAGCAGTAGCTGGCACTATCTTTTTGGCCATCTTTCGGGCAATGTAACTACTACAGCAAAATGAGATATGATCCATTAAACAACATATTCGCAAATCAAAAAGTGTTTCAGTAATATAATGCTTCAGATTTAGAAGCAAATCAAATGATAGAACTCCACTGCTGTAATAAGTCACCCCAAAGATCACCGTATCTGACAAAATAACTACCACAGGGTTATGACTTCAGAATCATACTTTCTCTTGATATTTACTTATGTATGTATTTATTTTTTTTAATTTATTTCTCTTGAGACGGCGTCTCGCTCTGTCGCCCAGGCTGGAGTGCGATGGTGTGATCTCGGCTCACTGCAACCGCCACCTCCCTGGGTTCAAGCGATTCTCCTGCCTCAGCCTCCCGAGTAGCTGGGACTACAGGTGCCCGCCACCACGCCCAGCTAATCTTTATACTTTTAATAGAGACGGGGTTTCACCGTGTCGGCCCGGATGGTCTCGATCTCTTGACCTCGTGACCCGCCCGCCTCGGCCTCCCAAAGTGCTGGGATGACAGGCGTGAGCCACTGAGCCCGGCCTTCTCTTGACGTTTAAACTATGAAGTCAGTCCAGAGAAACGCAATAAATGTCAACGGTGAGGATGGTGTTGAGGCAGAAGTAGGACCACACTTTTTCCTATCTTATTCAGTTGATAACAATATGACCTAGGTAGTAATTTCCTATGTGCCTACTTATACACGAGTACAAAAGAGTAAAACAGAGAGACTGCTAAATTAAAGGGTACGTGAAGTTCTTCATAGTAACTCCGTAAACTGGAACACTGTCAAAAAGCAGCAGCTAGTGAATTGTTTCCATGTATTTTTCTATTATCCAATAAGTGAACTATGCTATTCCTTTCCAGTCTCCCAAGCACTTCTTGTCCCCATCACCACTTCGGTGCTCGAAGAAAAAGTAACAAATCAAGGAACACAACTAAAGAAACACACACACAAACCAAAGACAACTACAGCGTCTGCAAAAGTTTGCTAGAAGACTGAAACTGTTGAGTATAAGGATCTGGTATTCTACGATCATGAGTTCACTTCAGAGTTTGTTCAAGACATACGTTTCGTAAGGAAACATCTTAGTTAGAAGTTATTCAGCAGTAGGTACCATCCCTAAGTATTTTTCACCAAATTCGTGACAATAAAGAGCTATCTAACCAGAAAAATTAGCGAGTACCGGCACCATCCATAGGGCTTTGTCTTTACGCTTCATTAGCACTTACCATGCCTTACAATGTCTAGGATTGACCCTGATAGCATTTCGAAAACAAGCTAATGCTTTGTCCAGTTCTTCAGTGAAGACAAGCTCACGCCCTAATGCGCTATAGGCATAAGCATCATTTGGATCCACTTCGAGAGTTCTCTGGAAGAATTGAATCGCAATATCGTGTTCCCGTTGCAGACCGAAACAGTTCCCTGCAGCACACCAGGCCTCTGGCTGGCGAATTTTTATCCATGTCTGTGAAGTCTTTGGACAGAACTGAAAGAGCAACCTCTTTCGGAGGATGCCAAAGTGTTGTAGAGTAGATCTCCATGCCTTCGACTCTGTAATTCTCAATCCTCCTAACCTCTGAGAATTGTCTTTCAGCTTGCGTGGACTCTGAAAGTTTACAATAGGCCCTTCCGATTTGGCACAGTACCCAACCGGTATTGCAGTGGTGAGAAGCTAGATGGCTCAAGATGCTGATAGCTTCTTTGCCGTGGTAAGAACACAAAGCTAAATAACCTTTCCCCCTTTCACGAAGAAGGCTCATCAAGCCTTCCGCTGCTGCTTTTTGTAGATTAAAAGCCTGAATCTGAGGCGCGATTGTGGCTATTTTCCCTTCTGAAATGACGGAAGAGTCCAATTTTGTCACTTCCAGGCTATCACTTATGTTCGGTGGAGTTATTGCTCCTTTATTAGTTTTACTTTTGGTTCTTCTGTTTGGGATTTTAGGTGGAAACTTCATTTTTAATTTTCTCCTATTCTCCTCGGTTGTGGAGCTGTCACTAGTCAAGAGTCGTGAATTTCTTCGAGGCGGTGCATTTGGGGGAGATGCCATAGTGGGGCTCAATACCTGAGGTGTTGCCCTTGTCGGCGGACCAGAACTTTGTGTTTTTGCAAGGACTGGAGTTACCTTTCGGCTCTTTCCCCTCTGCGAGAAGACAGACGGTGTTCCGGTTTGGCCGATTCTGGCAACAGGCTTTTTTGAAGGGGCTCCGGTGGATGGCACGTCAATGACAGACGGTGTCTCATACCAGTGCAGTTTTGTCAATAGGGTCCGTCTCCGGGACTTGGGGTTTCTAATGGCAAAATGCCAACACTTGGGGTTAATGGACTAACAGCTGCTGGTCCTCCTAATAAACTTCGACCAGTTTTTGGTTTATGTTGAACCTGTTTAGATCATATGGAAGTTCCTGTTCCCAGTGGGACAGTATCAGGTGAAAGGACAGCTGAATCGATAGAAGACACTGGGGAGTCTGTATTCAAGGAGTACTTTGAATTGGAAGATTCTAAATTCCATCCGTTTCATTCGACGGTGTCCTGGGGTGTTTCCGTAAGAACGGTCTCGGGCTGTCTGTGACATAAACTAGGACGAGGTCCAAGTGTTGTGGCGCAACACTTGGACAGGCAGTTGCTAAAGCTCTCTAGAGAGGTGAATCAAAATGTTTGGTCAGGATCTGGCTTTTCCCCCCTATTTCACATCATGATTCAAAGGGACACCAGAGGAAAGGATTTCAACGAAGGCTCTTTTGGTCACATTCTGATCCTTTGGTAAGCCGATCTGTCTTGCAATATACATGTCCCGACGATGGAAGGGGAAAGCGAGCTGAATCACCAAACTCAGGAACGATAATATCATCGTGGCTTTTCTGCTTATGAAACACTCCACCCGATAAGATTTGATCCCCTTCTGCAAGCTTGCTGAGATCAACACAACATTTCGCAAGCAGGCATTTGCATTGCGGGGTAGTACAACTGTGTCCTTTCAAGAGTCTATATGTTTTATAGGCCTTTCCTGAGCGGTAAGAACAGGTCGCCAGTAAGAACAAGGCTTCTTCTGAGTGTACTTCTGCATAAAGGCGTTCTGCGGGGGAAACCGCATCTCGGTAGGCATAGTGGTTTAGTGCTTGCCATATAGCAGCCTGGACGGGTCCCTGCAGCACCGCCATCCTCGAGGCTCAGGCCCACTTTCTGCAGTGCCACAGGCACCCCCCCCCCCCCCATAGCGGCTCCGGCCCGGCCAGCCTCGGCTCATTTAAAGGCACCAGCCGCCGTTACCGGGGGATGGGGGAGTCCGAGACAGAATGACTTCTTTATCCTGCTGACTCTGGAAAGCCCGGCGCCTTGTGATCCATTGCAAACCGAGAGTCACCTCGTGTTTAGAACACGGATCCACTCCCAAGTTCAGTGGGGGGATGTGAGGGGTGTGGCAGGTAGGACGAAGGACTCTCTTCCTTCTGATTCGGTCTGCACAGTGGGGCCTAGGGCTGGAGCTCTCTCCGTGCGGACCGCTGACTCCCTCTACCTTGGGTTCCCTCGGCCCCACCCTGGAACGCCGGGCCTTGGCAGATTCTGGCCCTTCCTGGCCCTTCAGTCGCTGTCAGAAACCCCATCTCATGCTCGGATGCCCCGAGTGACTGTGGCTCGCACCTCTCCGGAAACATTGGAAATCTCTCCTCTACGCGCGGCCACCTGAAACCACAGGAGCTCGGGACACACGTGCTTTCGGGAGAGAATGCTGAGAGTCTCTTGCCGACTCTCTCTTGACTTGAGTTCTTCGTGGGTGCGTGGTTAAGACGTAGTGAGACCAGATGTATTAACTCAGGCCGGGTGCTGGTGGCTCACGCCTGTAACCCCAACACTTTGGGAGGCCGAGGCCGTAGGATCCCTCGAGGAATCGCCTAACCCTGGGGAGGTTGAGGTTGCAGTGAGTGAGCCATAGTTGTGTCACTGTGCTCCAGTCTGGGCGAAAGACAGAATGAGGCCCTGCCACAGGCAGGCAGGCAGGCAGGCAGGCAGAAAGACAACAGCTGTATTATGTTCTTCTCAGGGTAGGAAGCAAAAATAACAGAATACAGCACTTAATTAATTTTTTTTTTTCCCTTCGGACGGAGTTTCACTCTTGGTGCCCACGCTGGAGTGCAGTGGCACCATCTCGGCTCACCGCAACCTCCACCTCCCGCGTTCAAGCGATTCTCCTGCCTCAGCCTCCTGAGTAGCTGGGATTACAGGGAGGAGCCACCACACCCAGCTGATTTTGTATTGTTAGTAGAGACGGCATTTCTCCATGTGGGTCAGGCTGGTCTCGAACTGGCGACCCCAGTGGATCTGCCCGCCCCGGCCTCCCAAAGTGCTGGGGTGACAGGCGTGAGCCATCGTGACTGGCCGGCTACGTTTATTTATTTATTTTTTTAATTATTTTACTTTTTTTTAGTTTTCCATTTTAATCTATTTATTTATTTACATTTATTTATTTATTTATTTATTTACTTATTTATTTATTTTCGAGACAGACTCTCGCTCTGCTGCCCAGGCTGGAGTGCAGCGGCGTGATCTCGGCTCACTGCAAGCTCCGCCTCCCGGGTTCACGCCATTCTCCTGCCTCAGCCTCCCAAGTAGCTGGGACTACAGGCGCCCGCCACCGTGCCCGGCTAACTTTTTGTATTTTGAGTAGAGATGGGGTTTCACTGTGGTAGCCAGGATGGTCTCGATCTCCTGACCCCGTGATCCGTCCACCTCGGCCTCCCAAAGTGCTGGGATGACAGGCGTGAGCCACCGCCCCCGGCCTATTTATCTATTTATTAACTTTGAGTCCAGGTTATGAAACCAGTTAGTTTTTGTAATTTTTTTTTTTTTTTTTTTTTTTTGAGACGAGGTTTCACCGTGTTGCCAAGGCTTGGACCGAGGGATCCACCGGCCCTCGGCCTCCCAAAAGTGCGGGGATGACAGGCGCGAGCCTACCGCGCCCGGACCCCCCCTTTCCCCTTCCCCCGCTTGTCTTCCCGACAGACAGTTTCACGGCAGAGCGTTTGGCTGGCGTGCTTAAACTCATTCTAAATAGAAATTTGGGACGTCAGCTTCTGGCCTCACGGACTCTGAGCCGAGGAGTCCCCTGGTCTGTCTATCACAGGACCGTACACGTAAGGAGGAGAAAAATCGTAACGTTCAAAGTCAGTCATTTTGTGATACAGAAATACACGGATTCACCCAAAACACAGAAAGCAGTCTTTTAGAAATGGCCTTAGCCCTGGTGTCCGTGCCAGTGATTCTTTTCGGTTTGGACCTTGACTGAGAGGATTCCCAGTCGGTCTCTCGTCTCTGGACGGAAGTTCCAGATGATCCGATGGGTGGGGGACTTAGGCTGCGTCCCCCCAGGAGCCCTGGTCGATTAGTTGTGGGGATCGCCTTGGAGGGCGCGGTGACCCACTGTGCTGTGGGAGCCTCCATCCTTCCCCCCACCCCCTCCCCAGGGGATCCCAATTCATTCCGGGCTGACACGCTCACTGGCAGGCGTCGGGCATCACCTAGCGGTCACTGTTACTCTGAAAACGGAGGCCTCACAGAGGAAGGGAGCACCAGGCCGCCTGCGCACAGCCTGGGGCAACTGTGTCTTCTCCACCGCCCCCGCCCCCACCTCCAAGTTCCTCCCTCCCTTGTTGCCTAGGAAATCGCCACTTTGACGACCGGGTCTGATTGACCTTTGATCAGGCAAAAACGAACAAACAGATAAATAAATAAAATAACACAAAAGTAACTAACTAAATAAAATAAGTCAATACAACCCATTACAATACAATAAGATACGATACGATAGGATGCGATAGGATACGATAGGATACAATACAATACGATACGATACAATACAATACAATACAATACAATACAATACAATACAATACAATACAATACGCCGGGCGCGGTGGCTCATGCCTGTCATCCCGTCACTTTGGGATGCCGAGGTGGACGCATCACCTGAAGTCGGGAGTTGGAGACAAGCCCGACCAACATGGAGAAATCCCGTCTCAATTGAAAATACAAAACTAGCCGGGCGCGGTGGCACATGCCTATAATCCCAGCTGCTAGGAAGGCTGAGGCAGGAGAATCGCTTGAACCTGGGAAGCGGAGGTTGCAGTGAGCCGAGATTGCGCCATCGCACTCCAGTCTGAGCAACAAGAGCGAAACTCCGTCTCAAAAATAAATACATAAATAAATACATACATACATACATACATACATACATACATAAATTAAAATAAATAAATAAAATAAAATAAATAAATGGGCCCTGCGCGGTGGCTCAAGCCTGTCATCCCCTCACTTTGGGAGGCCAAGGCCGGTGGATCAAGAGGCGGTCAGACCAACAGGGCCAGTATGGTGAAACCCCGTCTCTACTCACAATACACAACATTAGCCGGGCGCTGTGCTGTGCTGTACTGTCTGTAATCCCAGCTACTCGGGAGGCCGAGCTGAGGCAGGAGAATCGCTTGAACCTGGGAGGCGGAGGTTGCAGTGAGCCGAGATCGCGCCACTGCAACCCAGCCTGGGCGACAGAGCGAGACTCCGTCTCCAAAAAATGAAAATGAAAATGAAACGCAACAAAATAATTAAAAAGTGAGTTTCTGGGGAAAAAGAAGAAAAGAAAAAAGAAAAAAACAACAAAACAGAACAACCCCACCGTGACATACACGTACGCCTCTCGCCTTTCGAGGCCTCAAACACGTTAGGAATTATGCGTGATTTCTTTTTTTAACTTCATTTTATGTTATTATCATGATTGATGTTTCGAGACGGAGTCTCGGAGGCCCGCCCTCCCTGGTTGCCCAGACAACCCCGGGAGACAGACCCTGGCTGGGCCCGATTGTTCTTCTCCTTGGTCAGGGGTTTCCTTGTCTTTCTTCGTGTCTTTAACCCGCGTGGACTCTTCCGCTCGGGTTTGACAGATGGCAGCTCCACTTTAGGCCTTGTTGTTGTTGGGGACTTTCCTGATTCTCCCCAGATGTAGTGAAAGCAGGTAGATTTGCCTTGCCTGGACTTGCCTGGCCTTGCCTTTTCTTTCTTTCTTTCTTTATTACTTTCTCTTTTTCTTCTTCTTCTTCTTCTTCTTCTTCTTCTTCTTCTTCTTCTTCTTCTTCTTTTTTTTTTTGAGACAGAGTTTCACTCTTGTTGCCCAGGCTAGAGGGCAATGGTGCGATCTCGGCTCACCGCACCCTCCGCCTCCCAGGTTCAAGCGATTCTCCTGCCTCAGCCTCCTGATTAGCTGGGATTACAGGCATGGGCCACCGTGCCTGGCTGATGTTTGTACTTTTAGTAGAGACGGTGTTTTTCCATGTTGGTCAGGCTGGTCTCCCACTCCCAACCTCAGGTGGTCCGCCTGCCTTAGCCTCCCAAAGTGCTGGGATGACAGGCGTGAGCCACCGCGCCCAGCCTCTCTCTCTCTCTCTCTCTCTCTCTCTCTCTCTCTCTCTCTCGCTCGCTTGCTTGCTTGCTTTCGTGCTTTCTTGCTTTCCCGTTTTCTTGCTTTCTTTCTTTCTTTCGTTTCTTTCATGCTTGCTTTCTTGCTTGCTTGCTTGCTTTCGTGCTTTCTTGCTTTCCTGTTTTCTTTCTTTCTTTCTTTCTTTTGTTTCTTTCTTGCTTGCTTTCTTGCTTGCTTGCTTTCGTGCTTTCTTGTTTTCTCGATTTCTTTCTTTCTTTTGTTTCTTTCCTGCTTGCTTTCTTGCTTGATTGCTTTCGTGCTTTCTTGCTTTCTTGTTTTCTTTCTTTCTTTTGTTTCTTTCTTTCTTGCTTCCTTGTTTTCTTGCTTTCTTGCTTGCTTGCTTTCGTGCTTTCTTGTTTTCTTGCTTTCTTTCTTTTGTTTCTTTCTTGCTTGCTTTCTTGCTTCCTTGTTTTCTTGCTTTCTTGCTTGCTTGCTTTCGTGCTTTCTTTCTTGCTTTCTTTTCTTTCTTTCTTTTCTTTTTCTTTCTTTCTTGCTTTCTTTTCTTTCATTCATTCATTCTTTCTTTCTTTCCTTTCTTTCTTTCTTTCTTTCTATCTTTCTTTCTTTCTTTCTTTCTGTTTCGTCCTTTTGAGACAGAGTTTCACTCTTGTTTCCACGGCTAGAGTGCAATGGCGCGATCTTGGCTCACCGCACCTTCCGCCTCCCGGGTTCGAGCGCTTCTCCTGCCTCAGCCTCCCGATTAGCGGGGATTACAGGGAGGCACCCCCACGCCTGGCTTGGCTGATGTTTGTGTTTTTAGTAGGCACGCCGTGTCTCTCCATGTTGCTCAGGCTGGTCTCCAACTCCCGACCTCCTGTGATGCGCCCACCTCGGCCTCTCGAAGTGCTGGGATGACGGGCGTGAGCCACCGTGCCCGGCCTGTTGACTCATTTCGCTTTTTTATTTCTTTCGTTTCCACGCGTTTACTTATATGTATTAATGTAAACGTTTCTGTACGCTTATATGCAAACAACGACAACGTGTATCTCTGCATTGAATACTCTTGCGTATGGTAAATACGTATCGGTTGTATGGAAATAGACTTCTGTATGATAGATGTAGGTGTCTGTGTTATACAAATAAATACACATCGCTCTATAAAGAAGGGATCGTCGATAAAGACGTTTATTTTACGTATGAAAAGCGTCGTATTTATGTGTGTAAATGAACGAGCGTACGTAGTTATCTCTGTTTTCTTTCTTCCTCTCCTTCGTGTTTTTCTTCCTTCCTTTCTTCCTTTCTCTCCTTCTTTAGGTTTTTCTTCCTCTCTTCCTTTCCTTCTTTCTCTCTTTCTGTCCTTTTTTCCTTCGTGCTTTATTTCTCTTTCGTTCCCTGTGTTTCCTTCTTTTTTCTTTCCTCTCTGTTTCTTTTTCCCTTCTTTCCTTCGTTTCTTTCCTCATTCTTTCTCTCTTTTTCGTGTTTCTTTCCTTCCCGTCTGTCTTTTAAAAAATGGAGTGTTTCAGAAGTTTACTTTGTGTATCTACGTTTTCTAAATTGTCTCTCTTTTCTCCATTGTCTTCCTCCCTCCCTCCCTCCCTCCCTCCCTGCTCCCTTCCCTCCCTCCTTCCCTTTCGCCATCTGTCTCTTTTCCCCACTCCCCTCCCCCCGTCTGTCTCTGCGTGGATTCCGGAAGAGCCTACCCATTCTGCCTCTCCGTGTGTCTGCAGCGACCCGCGACCGAGTCCTTGTGTGTTCTTTCTCCCTCCCTCACTCCCTCCCTCCCTCCCTCCCTGCTTCCGAGAGGCATCTCCAAACACCCACGCGCCGTGGGTTGTCTTCTGACTCTGTCGCGGTCGAGGCAGAGACGCGTTTTGGGCACCGTTTGTGTGGGGTTGGGGCAGAGGGGCTGCGTTTTCGGCCTCGGGAAGAGCTTCTCGACTCACGGTTTCGCTTTCGCGGTCCACGGGCCGCCCTGCCAGCCGGATCTGTCTCGCTGACGTCCGCGGCGGTTGTCGGGCTCCATCTGGCGGCCGCTTTGAGATCGTGCTCTCGGCTTCCGGAGCTGCGGTGGCAGCTGCCGAGGGAGGGGACCGTCCCCGCTGTGAGCTAGGCAGAGCTCCGGAAAGCCCGCGGTCGTCAGCCCGGCTGGCCCGGTGGCGCCAGAGCTGTGGCGCGTCGCTTGTGAGTCACAGCTCTGGCGTGCAGGTTTATGTGGGGGAGAGGCTGTCGCTGCGCTTCTGGGCCCGCGGCGGGCGTGGGGCTGCCCGGGCCGGTCGACCAGCGCGCCGTAGCTCCCGAGGCCCGAGCCGCGACCCGCGGGGACCCGCCGCGCGTGGCGCGGGAGGCTGGGGACGCCCTTCCCGGCCCGGTCGCGGGTCCGCGCTCATCCTGGCCGTCTGAGGCGGCGGCCGAATTCGTTTCCGAGTCCCCGTGGGGAGCCGGGGACCGTCCCGCCCCCGTCCCCCGGGTGCCGGGGAGCGGTCCCCGGGCCGGGCCGCGGTCCCTCTGCCGCGATCCTTTCTGGCGAGTCCCCGTGCGGAGTCGGAGAGCGCTCCCTGAGCGCGCGTGCGGCCCGAGAGGTCGCGCCTGGCCGGCCTTCGGTCCCTCGTGTGTCCCGGTCGTAGGAGGGGCCGGCCGAAAATGCTTCCGGCTCCCGCTCTGGAGACACGGGCCGGCCCCCTGCGTGTGGCACGGGCGGCCGGGAGGGCGTCCCCGGCCCGGCGCTGCTCCCGCGTGTGTCCTGGGGTTGACCAGAGGGCCCCGGGCGCTCCGTGTGTGGCTGCGATGGTGGCGTTTTTGGGGACAGGTGTCCGTGTCGCGCGTCGCCTGGGCCGGCGGCGTGGTCGGTGACGCGACCTCCCGGCCCCGGGGGAGGTATATCTTTCGCTCCGAGTCGGCATTTTGGGCCGCCGGGTTATTGCTGACACGCTGTCCTCTGGCGACCTGTCGCTGGAGAGGTTGGGCCTCCGGATGCGCGCGGGGCTCTGGCCTACCGGTGACCCGGCTAGCCGGCCGCGCTCCTGCTTGAGCCGCCTGCCGGGGCCCGCGGGCCTGCTGTTCTCTCGCGCGTCCGAGCGTCCCGACTCCCGGTGCCGGCCCGGGTCCGGGTCTCTGACCCACCCGGGGGCGGCGGGGAAGGCGGCGAGGGCCACCGTGCCCCCGTGCGCTCTCCGCTGCGGGCGCCCGGGGCGGCCGCGACAACCCCACCCCGCTGGCTCCGTGCCGTGCGTGTCAGGCGTTCTCGTCTCCGCGGGGTTGTCCGCCGCCCCTTCCCCGGAGTGGGGGGTTGGCCGGAGCCGATCGGCTCGCTGGCCGGCCGGCCGGCCTCCGCTCCCGGGGGGCTCTTCGTGATCGATGTGGTGACGTCGTGCTCTCCCGGGCCGGGTCCGAGCCGCGACGGGCGAGGGGCGGACGTTCGTGGCGAACGGGACCGTCCTTCTCGCTCCGCCCCGCGGGGGTCCCCTCGTCTCTCCTCTCCCCGCCCGCCGGCGGTGCGTGTGGGAAGGCGTGGGGTGCGGACCCCGGCCCGACCTCGCCGTCCCGCCCGCCGCCTTCTGCGTCGCGGGGCGGGCCGGCGGGGTCCTCTGACGCGGCAGACAGCCCTCGCTGTCGCCTCCAGTGGTTGTCGACTTGCGGGCGGCCCCCCTCCGCGGCGGTGGGGGTGCCGTCCCGCCGGCCCGTCGTGCTGCCCTCTCGGGGGGTTTGCGCGAGCGTCGGCTCCGCCTGGGCCCTTGCGGTGCTCCTGGAGCGCTCCGGGTTGTCCCTCAGGTGCCCGAGGCCGAACGGTGGTGTGTCGTTCCCGCCCCCGGCGCCCCCTCCTCCGGTCGCCGCCGCGGTGTCCGCGCGTGGGTCCTGAGGGAGCTCGTCGGTGTGGGGTTCGAGGCGGTTTGAGTGAGACGAGACGAGACGCGCCCCTCCCACGCGGGGAAGGGCGCCCGCCTGCTCTCGGTGAGCGCACGTCCCGTGCTCCCCTCTGGCGGGTGCGCGCGGGCCGTGTGAGCGATCGCGGTGGGTTCGGGCCGGTGTGACGCGTGCGCCGGCCGGCCGCCGAGGGGCTGCCGTTCTGCCTCCGACCGGTCGTGTGTGGGTTGACTTCGGAGGCGCTCTGCCTCGGAAGGAAGGAGGTGGGTGGACGGGGGGGCCTGGTGGGGTTGCGCGCACGCGCGCACCGGCCGGGCCCCCGCCCTGAACGCGAACGCTCGAGGTGGCCGCGCGCAGGTGTTTCCTCGTACCGCAGGGCCCCCTCCCTTCCCCAGGCGTCCCTCGGCGCCTCTGCGGGCCCGAGGAGGAGCGGCTGGCGGGTGGGGGGAGTGTGACCCACCCTCGGTGAGAAAAGCCTTCTCTAGCGATCTGAGAGGCGTGCCTTGGGGGTACCGGATCCCCCGGGCCGCCGCCTCTGTCTCTGCCTCCGTTATGGTAGCGCTGCCGTAGCGACCCGCTCGCAGAGGACCCTCCTCCGCTTCCCCCTCGACGGGGTTGGGGGGGAGAAGCGAGGGTTCCGCCGGCCACCGCGGTGGTGGCCGAGTGCGGCTCGTCGCCTACTGTGGCCCGCGCCTCCCCCTTCCGAGTCGGGGGAGGATCCCGCCGGGCCGGGCCCGGCGTTCCCAGCGGGTTGGGACGCGGCGGCCGGCGGGCGGTGGGTGTGCGCGCCCGGCGCTCTGTCCGGCGCGTGACCCCCTCCGCCGCGAGTCGGCTCTCCGCCCGCTCCCGTGCCGAGTCGTGACCGGTGCCGACGACCGCGTTTGCGTGGCACGGGGTCGGGCCCGCCTGGCCCTGGGAAAGCGTCCCACGGTGGGGGCGCGCCGGTCTCCCGGAGCGGGACCGGGTCGGAGGATGGACGAGAATCACGAGCGACGGTGGTGCGGGCGTGTCGGGTTCGTGGCTGCGGTCGCTCCGGGGCCCCCGGTGGCGGGGCCCCGGGGCTCGCGAGGCGGTTCTCGGTGGGGGCCGAGGGCCGTCCGGCGTCCCAGGCGGGGCGCCGCGGGACCGCCCTCGTGTCTGTGGCGGTGGGATCCCGCGGCCGTGTTTTCCTGGTGGCCCGGCCGTGCCTGAGGTTTCTCCCCGAGCCGCCGCCTCTGCGGGCTCCCGGGTGCCCTTGCCCTCGCGGTCCCCGGCCCTCGCCCGTCTGTGCCCTCTTCCCCGCCCGCCGCCCGCCGATCCTCTTCTTCCCCCCGAGCGGCTCACCGGCTTCACGTCCGTTGGTGGCCCCGCCTGGGACCGAACCCGGCACCGCCTCGTGGGGCGCCGCCGCCGGCCACTGATCGGCCCGGCGTCCGCGTCCCCCGGCGCGCGCCTTGGGGACCGGGTCGGTGGCGCCCCGCGTGGGGCCCGGTGGGCTTCCCGGAGGGTTCCGGGGGTCGGCCTGCGGCGCGTGCGGGGGAGGAGACGGTTCCGGGGGACCGGCCGCGACTGCGGCGGCGGTGGTGGGGGCAGCCGCGGGGATCGCCGAGGGCCGGTCGGCCGCCCCGGGTGCCGCGCGGTGCCGCCGGCGGCGGTGAGGCCCCGCGCGTGTGTCCCGGCCGCGGTCGGCCGCGCTCGAGGGGTCCCCGTGGCGTCCCCTTCCCCGCCGGCCGCCTTTCTCGCGCCTTCCCCGTCGCCCCGGCCTCGCCCGTGGTCTCTCGTCTTCTCCCGGCCCGCTCTTCCGAACCGGGTCGGCGCGTCCCCCGGGTGCGCCTCGCTTCCCGGGCCTGCCGCGGCCCTTCCCCGAGGCGTCCGTCCCGGGCGTCGGCGTCGGGGAGAGCCCGTCCTCCCCGCGTGGCGTCGCCCCGTTCGGCGCGCGCGTGCGCCCGAGCGCGGCCCGGTGGTCCCTGCCGGACAGGCGTTCGTGCGACGTGTGGCGTGGGTCGACCTCCGCCTTGCCGGTCGCTCGCCCTTTCCCCGGGTCGGGGGGTGGGGCCCGGGCCGGGGCCTCGGCCCCGGTCGCGGTCCCCCGTCCCGGGCGGGGGCGGGCGCGCCGGCCGGCCTCGGTCGGCCCTCCCTTGGCCGTCGTGTGGCGTGTGCCACCCCTGCGCCCGCGCCCGCCGGCGGGGCTCGGAGCCGGGCTTCGGCCGGGCCCCGGGCCCTCGACCGGACCGGTGCGCGGGCGCTGCGGCCGCACGGCGCGACTGTCCCCGGGCCGGGCACCGCGGTCCGCCTCTCGCTCGCCGCCCGGACGTCGGGGCCGCCCCGCGGGGCGGGCGGAGCGCCGTCCCCGCCTCGCCGCCGCCCGCGGGCGCCGGCCGCGCGCGCGCGCGCGTGGCCGCCGGTCCCTCCCGGCCGCCGGGCGCGGGTCGGGCCGTCCGCCTCCTCGCGGGCGGGCGCGACGAAGAAGCGTCGCGGGTCTGTGGCGCGGGGCCCCGGTGGTCGTGTCGCGTGGGGGGCGGGTGGTTGGGGCGTCCGGTTCGCCGCGCCCCGCCCCGGCCCCACCGGTCCCGGCCGCCGCCCCCGCGCCCGCTCGCTCCCTCCCGTCCGCCCGTCCGCGGCCCGTCCGTCCGTCCGTCGTCCTCCTCGCTTGCGGGGCGCCGGGCCCGTCCTCGCGAGGCCCCCCGGCCGGCCGTCCGGCCGCGTCGGGGCCTCGCCGCGCTCTACCTTACCTACCTGGTTGATCCTGCCAGTAGCATATGCTTGTCTCAAAGATTAAGCCATGCATGTCTGAGTACGCACGGCCGGTACAGTGAAACTGCGAATGGCTCATTAAATCAGTTATGGTTCCTTTGGTCGCTCGCTCCTCTCCTACTTGGATAACTGTGGTAATTCTAGAGCTAATACATGCCGACGGGCGCTGACCCCCTTCGCGGGGGGGATGCGTGCATTTATCAGATCAAAACCAACCCGGTCAGCCCCTCTCCGGCCCCGGCCGGGGGGCGGGCGCCGGCGGCTTTGGTGACTCTAGATAACCTCGGGCCGATCGCACGCCCCCCGTGGCGGCGACGACCCATTCGAACGTCTGCCCTATCAACTTTCGATGGTAGTCGCCGTGCCTACCATGGTGACCACGGGTGACGGGGAATCAGGGTTCGATTCCGGAGAGGGAGCCTGAGAAACGGCTACCACATCCAAGGAAGGCAGCAGGCGCGCAAATTACCCACTCCCGACCCGGGGAGGTAGTGACGAAAAATAACAATACAGGACTCTTTCGAGGCCCTGTAATTGGAATGAGTCCACTTTAAATCCTTTAACGAGGATCCATTGGAGGGCAAGTCTGGTGCCAGCAGCCGCGGTAATTCCAGCTCCAATAGCGTATATTAAAGTTGCTGCAGTTAAAAAGCTCGTAGTTGGATCTTGGGAGCGGGCGGGCGGTCCGCCGCGAGGCGAGCCACCGCCCGTCCCCGCCCCTTGCCTCTCGGCGCCCCCTCGATGCTCTTAGCTGAGTGTCCCGCGGGGCCCGAAGCGTTTACTTTGAAAAAATTAGAGTGTTCAAAGCAGGCCCGAGCCGCCTGGATACCGCAGCTAGGAATAATGGAATAGGACCGCGGTTCTATTTTGTTGGTTTTCGGAACTGAGGCCATGATTAAGAGGGACGGCCGGGGGCATTCGTATTGCGCCGCTAGAGGTGAAATTCTTGGACCGGCGCAAGACGGACCAGAGCGAAAGCATTTGCCAAGAATGTTTTCATTAATCAAGAACGAAAGTCGGAGGTTCGAAGACGATCAGATACCGTCGTAGTTCCGACCATAAACGATGCCGACCGGCGATGCGGCGGCGTTATTCCCATGACCCGCCGGGCAGCTTCCGGGAAACCAAAGTCTTTGGGTTCCGGGGGGAGTATGGTTGCAAAGCTGAAACTTAAAGGAATTGACGGAAGGGCACCACCAGGAGTGGAGCCTGCGGCTTAATTTGACTCAACACGGGAAACCTCACCCGGCCCGGACACGGACAGGATTGACAGATTGATAGCTCTTTCTCGATTCCGTGGGTGGTGGTGCATGGCCGTTCTTAGTTGGTGGAGCGATTTGTCTGGTTAATTCCGATAACGAACGAGACTCTGGCATGCTAACTAGTTACGCGACCCCCGAGCGGTCGGCGTCCCCCAACTTCTTAGAGGGACAAGTGGCGTTCAGCCACCCGAGATTGAGCAATAACAGGTCTGTGATGCCCTTAGATGTCCGGGGCTGCACGCGCGCTACACTGACTGGCTCAGCGTGTGCCTACCCTACGCCGGCAGGCGCGGGTAACCCGTTGAACCCCATTCGTGATGGGGATCGGGGATTGCAATTATTCCCCATGAACGAGGAATTCCCAGTAAGTGCGGGTCATAAGCTTGCGTTGATTAAGTCCCTGCCCTTTGTACACACCGCCCGTCGCTACTACCGATTGGATGGTTTAGTGAGGCCCTCGGATCGGCCCCGCCGGGGTCGGCCCACGGCCCTGGCGGAGCGCTGAGAAGACGGTCGAACTTGACTATCTAGAGGAAGTAAAAGTCGTAACAAGGTTTCCGTAGGTGAACCTGCGGAAGGATCATTAACGGAGCCCGGAGGGCGAGGCCCGCGGCGGCGCCGCCGCCGCCGCGCGCTTCCCTCCGCACACCCACCCCCCCACCGCGACGCGGCGCGTGCGCGGGCGGGGCCCGCGTGCCCGTTCGTTCGCTCGCTCGTTCGTTCGCCGCCCGGCCCCGCCGGCCGCGAGAGCCGGAGAACTCGGGAGGGAGACGGGGGAGAGAGAGAGAGAGAGAGAAAGAGAAAGAAGGGCGTGTCGTTGGTGTGCGCGTGTCGTGGGGCCGGCGGGCGGCGGGGAGCGGTCCCCGGCCGCGGCCCCGACGACGTGGGTGTCGGCGGGCGCGGGGGCGGTTCTCGGCGGCGTCGCGGCGGGTCTGGGGGGGTCTCGGTGCCCTCCTCCCCGCCGGGGCCCGTCGTCCGGCCCCGCCGCGCCGGCTCCCCGTCTTCGGGGCCGGCCGGATTCCCGTCGCCTCCGCCGCGCCGCTCCGCGCCGCCGGGCACGGCCCCGCTCGCTCTCCCCGGCCTTCCCGCTAGGGCGTCTCGAGGGTCGGGGGCCGGACGCCGGTCCCCTCCCCCGCCTCCTCGTCCGCCCCCCCGCCGTCCAGGTACCTAGCGCGTTCCGGCGCGGAGGTTTAAAGACCCCTTGGGGGGATCGCCCGTCCGCCCGTGGGTCGGGGGCGGTGGTGGGCCCGCGGGGGAGTCCCGTCGGGAGGGGCCCGGCCCCTCCCGCGCCTCCACCGCGGACTCCGCTCCCCGGCCGGGGCCGCGCCGCCGCCGCCGCCGCGGCGGCCGTCGGGTGGGGGCTTTACCCGGCGGCCGTCGCGCGCCTGCCGCGCGTGTGGCGTGCGCCCCGCGCCGTGGGGGCGGGAACCCCCGGGCGCCTGTGGGGTGGTGTCCGCGCTCGCCCCCGCGTGGGCGGCGCGCGCCTCCCCGTGGTGTGAAACCTTCCGACCCCTCTCCGGAGTCCGGTCCCGTTTGCTGTCTCGTCTGGCCGGCCTGAGGCAACCCCCTCTCCTCTTGGGCGGGGGGGGGGGGGACGTGCCGCGCCAGGAAGGGCCTCCTCCCGGTGCGTCGTCGGGAGCGCCCTCGCCAAATCGACCTCGTACGACTCTTAGCGGTGGATCACTCGGCTCGTGCGTCGATGAAGAACGCAGCTAGCTGCGAGAATTAATGTGAATTGCAGGACACATTGATCATCGACACTTCGAACGCACTTGCGGCCCCGGGTTCCTCCCGGGGCTACGCCTGTCTGAGCGTCGCTTGCCGATCAATCGCCCCCGGGGGTGCCTCCGGGCTCCTCGGGGTGCGCGGCTGGGGGTTCCCTCGCAGGGCCCGCCGGGGGCCCTCCGTCCCCCTAAGCGCAGACCCGGCGGCGTCCGCCCTCCTCTTGCCGCCGCGCCCGCCCCTTCCCCCTCCCCCCGCGGGCCCTGCGTGGTCACGCGTCGGGTGGCGGGGGGGAGAGGGGGGCGCGCCCGGCTGAGAGAGACGGGGAGGGCGGCGCCGCCGCCGCCCGCGAAGACGGAGAGGGAAAGAGAGAGCCGGCTCGGGCCGAGTTCCCGTGGCCGCCGCCTGCGGTCCGGGTTCCTCCCTCGGGGGGCTCCCTCGCGCCGCGCGCGGCTCGGGGTTCGGGGTTCGTCGGCCCCGGCCGGGTGGAAGGTCCCGTGCCCGTCGTCGTCGTCGTCGTCGCGCGTCGTCGGCGGTGGGGGCGTGTTGCGTGCGGTGTGGTGGTGGGGGAGGAGGAAGGCGGGTCCGGAAGGGGAAGGGTGCCGGCGGGGAGAGAGGGTCGGGGGAGCGCGTCCCGGTCGCCGCGGTTCGCCGCCCGCCCCCGGTGGCGGCCCGGCGTCCGGCCGACCGCCGCTCCCGCGCCCCTCCTCCTCCCCGCCGCCCCTCCTCCGAGGCCCCGCCCGTCCTCCTCGCCCTCCCCGCGCGTACGCGCGCCCGCCCGCCCGGCTCGCCTCGCGGCGCGTCGGCCGGGGCCGGGAGCCCGCCCCGCGGCCCGCCCGGCCGCGCCCGTGGCCGCGGCGCCGGGGTTCGCGTGTCCCCGGCGGCGACCCGCGGGACGCCGCGGTGTCGTCCGCCGTCGCGCGCCCGCCTCCGGCTCGCGGCCGCGCCGCGCCGCGCCGGGGCCCCGTCCCGAGCTTCCGCGTCGGGGCGGGGCGGCTCCGCCGCCGCGTCCTCGGACCCGTCCCCCCGACCTCCGCGGGGGAGACGGGTCGGGGCGTGCGGCGCCCGTCCCGCCCCCGGCCCGTGCCCCTCCCTCCGGTCGTCCCGCTCCGGCGGGGCGGCGCGGGGGTGCCGCCGGCCGCGCGCTCTCTCTCCCGTCGCCTCTCCCCCTCGCCGGGCCCGTCTCCCGACGGAGCGTCGGGCGGGCGGTCGGGCCGGCGCGATTCCGTCCGTCCGTCCGCCGAGCGGCCCGTCCCCCTCCGAGACGCGACCTCAGATCAGACGTGGCGACCCGCTGAATTTAAGCATATTAGTCAGCGGAGGAGAAGAAACTAACCAGGATTCCCTCAGTAACGGCGAGTGAACAGGGAAGAGCCCAGCGCCGAATCCCCGCCCCGCGGCGGGGCGCGGGACATGTGGCGTACGGAAGACCCGCTCCCCGGCGCCGCTCGTGGGGGGCCCAAGTCCTTCTGATCGAGGCCCAGCCCGTGGACGGTGTGAGGCCGGTAGCGGCCCCCGGCGCGCCGGGCCCGGGTCTTCCCGGAGTCGGGTTGCTTGGGAATGCAGCCCAAAGCGGGTGGTAAACTCCATCTAAGGCTAAATACCGGCACGAGACCGATAGTCAACAAGTACCGTAAGGGAAAGTTGAAAAGAACTTTGAAGAGAGAGTTCAAGAGGGCGTGAAACCGTTAAGAGGTAAACGGGTGGGGTCCGCGCAGTCCGCCCGGAGGATTCAACCCGGCGGCGGGTCCGGCCGTGTCGGCGGCCCGGCGGATCTTTCCCGCCCCCCGTTCCTCCCGACCCCTCCACCCGCCCTCCCTTCCCCCGCCGCCCCTCCTCCTCCTCCCCGGAGGGGGCGGGCTCCGGCGGGTGCGGGGGTGGGCGGGCGGGGCCGGGGGTGGGGTCGGCGGGGGACCGTCCCCCGACCGGCGACCGGCCGCCGCCGGGCGCATTTCCACCGCGGCGGTGCGCCGCGACCGGCTCCGGGACGGCTGGGAAGGCCCGGCGGGGAAGGTGGCTCGGGGGGCCCCGTCCGTCCGTCCGTCCGTCCTCCTCCTCCCCCGTCTCCGCCCCCCGGCCCCGCGTCCTCCCTCGGGAGGGCGCGCGGGTCGGGGCGGCGGCGGCGGCGGCGGTGGCGGCGGCGGCGGCGGCGGCGGGACCGAAACCCCCCCCGAGTGTTACAGCCCCCCCGGCAGCAGCACTCGCCGAATCCCGGGGCCGAGGGAGCGAGACCCGTCGCCGCGCTCTCCCCCCTCCCGGCGCCCACCCCCGCGGGGAATCCCCCGCGAGGGGGGTCTCCCCCGCGGGGGCGCGCCGGCGTCTCCTCGTGGGGGGGCCGGGCCACCCCTCCCACGGCGCGACCGCTCTCCCACCCCTCCTCCCCGCGCCCCCGCCCCGGCGACGGGGGGGGTGCCGCGCGCGGGTCGGGGGGCGGGGCGGACTGTCCCCAGTGCGCCCCGGGCGGGTCGCGCCGTCGGGCCCGGGGGAGGTTCTCTCGGGGCCACGCGCGCGTCCCCCGAAGAGGGGGACGGCGGAGCGAGCGCACGGGGTCGGCGGCGACGTCGGCTACCCACCCGACCCGTCTTGAAACACGGACCAAGGAGTCTAACACGTGCGCGAGTCGGGGGCTCGCACGAAAGCCGCCGTGGCGCAATGAAGGTGAAGGCCGGCGCGCTCGCCGGCCGAGGTGGGATCCCGAGGCCTCTCCAGTCCGCCGAGGGCGCACCACCGGCCCGTCTCGCCCGCCGCGCCGGGGAGGTGGAGCACGAGCGCACGTGTTAGGACCCGAAAGATGGTGAACTATGCCTGGGCAGGGCGAAGCCAGAGGAAACTCTGGTGGAGGTCCGTAGCGGTCCTGACGTGCAAATCGGTCGTCCGACCTGGGTATAGGGGCGAAAGACTAATCGAACCATCTAGTAGCTGGTTCCCTCCGAAGTTTCCCTCAGGATAGCTGGCGCTCTCGCAGACCCGACGCACCCCCGCCACGCAGTTTTATCCGGTAAAGCGAATGATTAGAGGTCTTGGGGCCGAAACGATCTCAACCTATTCTCAAACTTTAAATGGGTAAGAAGCCCGGCTCGCTGGCGTGGAGCCGGGCGTGGAATGCGAGTGCCTAGTGGGCCACTTTTGGTAAGCAGAACTGGCGCTGCGGGATGAACCGAACGCCGGGTTAAGGCGCCCGATGCCGACGCTCATCAGACCCCAGAAAAGGTGTTGGTTGATATAGACAGCAGGACGGTGGCCATGGAAGTCGGAATCCGCTAAGGAGTGTGTAACAACTCACCTGCCGAATCAACTAGCCCTGAAAATGGATGGCGCTGGAGCGTCGGGCCCATACCCGGCCGTCGCCGGCAGTCGAGAGTGGACGGGAGCGGCGGGGGCGGCGCGCGCGCGCGCGCGTGTGGTGTGCGTCGGAGGGCGGCGGCGGCGGCGGCGGCGGGGGTGTGGGGTCCTTCCCCCGCCCCCCCCCCCACGCCTCCTCCCCTCCTCCCGCCCACGCCCCGCTCCCCGCCCCCGGAGCCCCGCGGACGCTACGCCGCGACGAGTAGGAGGGCCGCTGCGGTGAGCCTTGAAGCCTAGGGCGCGGGCCCGGGTGGAGCCGCCGCAGGTGCAGATCTTGGTGGTAGTAGCAAATATTCAAACGAGAACTTTGAAGGCCGAAGTGGAGAAGGGTTCCATGTGAACAGCAGTTGAACATGGGTCAGTCGGTCCTGAGAGATGGGCGAGCGCCGTTCCGAAGGGACGGGCGATGGCCTCCGTTGCCCTCGGCCGATCGAAAGGGAGTCGGGTTCAGATCCCCGAATCCGGAGTGGCGGAGATGGGCGCCGCGAGGCGTCCAGTGCGGTAACGCGACCGATCCCGGAGAAGCCGGCGGGAGCCCCGGGGAGAGTTCTCTTTTCTTTGTGAAGGGCAGGGCGCCCTGGAATGGGTTCGCCCCGAGAGAGGGGCCCGTGCCTTGGAAAGCGTCGCGGTTCCGGCGGCGTCCGGTGAGCTCTCGCTGGCCCTTGAAAATCCGGGGGAGAGGGTGTAAATCTCGCGCCGGGCCGTACCCATATCCGCAGCAGGTCTCCAAGGTGAACAGCCTCTGGCATGTTGGAACAATGTAGGTAAGGGAAGTCGGCAAGCCGGATCCGTAACTTCGGGATAAGGATTGGCTCTAAGGGCTGGGTCGGTCGGGCTGGGGCGCGAAGCGGGGCTGGGCGCGCGCCGCGGCTGGACGAGGCGCCGCCGCCCCCCCCACGCCCGGGGCACCCCCCTCGCGGCCCTCCCCCGCCCCACCCCGCGCGCGCCGCTCGCTCCCTCCCCGCCCCGCGCCCTCTCTCTCTCTCTCTCCCCCGCTCCCCGTCCTCCCCCCTCCCCGGGGGAGCGCCGCGTGGGGGCGGCGGCGGGGGGAGAAGGGTCGGGGCGGCAGGGGCCGGCGGCGGCCCGCCGCGGGGCCCCGGCGGCGGGGGCACGGTCCCCCGCGAGGGGGGCCCGGGCACCCGGGGGGCCGGCGGCGGCGGCGACTCTGGACGCGAGCCGGGCCCTTCCCGTGGATCGCCCCAGCTGCGGCGGGCGTCGCGGCCGCCCCCGGGGAGCCCGGCGGGCGCCGGCGCGCCCCCCCCCCCACCCCACGTCTCGTCGCGCGCGCGTCCGCTGGGGGCGGGGAGCGGTCGGGCGGCGGCGGTCGGCGGGCGGCGGGGCGGGGCGGTTCGTCCCCCCGCCCTACCCCCCCGGCCCCGTCCGCCCCCCGTTCCCCCCTCCTCCTCGGCGCGCGGCGGCGGCGGCGGGCGGCGGAGGGGCCGCGGGCCGGTCCCCCCCGCCGGGTCCGCCCCCGGGGCCGCGGTTCCGCGCGGCGCCTCGCCTCGGCCGGCGCCTAGCAGCCGACTTAGAACTGGTGCGGACCAGGGGAATCCGACTGTTTAATTAAAACAAAGCATCGCGAAGGCCCGCGGCGGGTGTTGACGCGATGTGATTTCTGCCCAGTGCTCTGAATGTCAAAGTGAAGAAATTCAATGAAGCGCGGGTAAACGGCGGGAGTAACTATGACTCTCTTAAGGTAGCCAAATGCCTCGTCATCTAATTAGTGACGCGCATGAATGGATGAACGAGATTCCCACTGTCCCTACCTACTATCCAGCGAAACCACAGCCAAGGGAACGGGCTTGGCGGAATCAGCGGGGAAAGAAGACCCTGTTGAGCTTGACTCTAGTCTGGCACGGTGAAGAGACATGAGAGGTGTAGAATAAGTGGGAGGCCCCCGGCGCCCCCCCGGTGTCCCCGCGAGGGGCCCGGGGCGGGGTCCGCCGGCCCTGCGGGCCGCCGGTGAAATACCACTACTCTGATCGTTTTTTCACTGACCCGGTGAGGCGGGGGGGCGAGCCCCGAGGGGCTCTCGCTTCTGGCGCCAAGCGCCCGGCCGCGCGCCGGCCGGGCGCGACCCGCTCCGGGGACAGTGCCAGGTGGGGAGTTTGACTGGGGCGGTACACCTGTCAAACGGTAACGCAGGTGTCCTAAGGCGAGCTCAGGGAGGACAGAAACCTCCCGTGGAGCAGAAGGGCAAAAGCTCGCTTGATCTTGATTTTCAGTACGAATACAGACCGTGAAAGCGGGGCCTCACGATCCTTCTGACCTTTTGGGTTTTAAGCAGGAGGTGTCAGAAAAGTTACCACAGGGATAACTGGCTTGTGGCGGCCAAGCGTTCATAGCGACGTCGCTTTTTGATCCTTCGATGTCGGCTCTTCCTATCATTGTGAAGCAGAATTCACCAAGCGTTGGATTGTTCACCCACTAATAGGGAACGTGAGCTGGGTTTAGACCGTCGTGAGACAGGTTAGTTTTACCCTACTGATGATGTGTTGTTGCCATGGTAATCCTGCTCAGTACGAGAGGAACCGCAGGTTCAGACATTTGGTGTATGTGCTTGGCTGAGGAGCCAATGGGGCGAAGCTACCATCTGTGGGATTATGACTGAACGCCTCTAAGTCAGAATCCCGCCCAGGCGGAACGATACGGCAGCGCCGCGGAGCCTCGGTTGGCCTCGGATAGCCGGTCCCCCGCCTGTCCCCGCCGGCGGGCCGCCCCCCCCTCCACGCGCCCCGCGCGCGCGGGAGGGCGCGTGCCCCGCCGCGCGCCGGGACCGGGGTCCGGTGCGGAGTGCCCTTCGTCCTGGGAAACGGGGCGCGGCTGGAAAGGCGGCCGCCCCCTCGCCCGTCACGCACCGCACGTTCGTGGGGAACCTGGCGCTAAACCATTCGTAGACGACCTGCTTCTGGGTCGGGGTTTCGTACGTAGCAGAGCAGCTCCCTCGCTGCGATCTATTGAAAGTCAGCCCTCGACACAAGGGTTTGTCCGCGCGCGCGCGCGCGCGTGCGTGCGGGGGGCCCGGCGGGGCGTGCGCGTCCGGCGCCGTCCGTCCTTCCGTTCGTCTTCCTCCCTCCCGGCCTCTCCCGCCGACCGCGGGCGTGGTGGTGGGGGTGGGGGGGAGGGCGCGCGACCCCGGTCGGCGCGCCCCGCTTCTTCGGTTCCCGCCTCCTCCCCGTTCACCGCCGGGGCGGCTCGTCCGCTCCGGGCCGGGACGGGGTCCGGGGAGCGTGGTTTGGGAGCCGCGGAGGCGGCCGCGCCGAGCCGGGCCCGTGGCCCGCCGGTCCCCGTCCCGGGGGTTGGCCGCGCGGGCCCCGGTGGGGCGGCCACCCGGGGTCCCGGCCCTCGCGCGTCCTTCCTCCTCGCTCCTCCGCACGGGTCGACCAGCAGACCGCGGGTGGTGGGCGGCGGGCGGCGAGGCCCCACGGGGCGTCCGCGCACCCGGCCGACCTCCGCTCGTGACCTCTCCTCGGTCGGGCCTCCGGGGTCGACCGCCTGCCGCCCGCGGGCGTGAGACTCAGCCGGCGTCTCGCCGTGTCCCGGGTCGACCGGCGGGCCTTCTCCACCGAGCGGCGTGTAGGAGTGCCCGTCGGGACGAACCGCAACCGGAGCGTCCCCGTCTCGGTCGGCACCTCCGGGGTCGACCAGCTGCCGCCCGCGAGCTCCGGACTTAGCCGGCGCCTGCACGTGTCCCGGGTCGACCAGCAGGCGGCCGCCGGACGCTGCGGCGCACCGACGCGAGGGCGTCGATTCCCGTTCGCGCGCCCGCGACCTCCACCGGCCTCGGCCCGCGGTGGAGCTGGGACCACGCGGAACTCCCTCTCTCACATTTTTTTCAGCCCCACCGCGAGTTTGCGTCCGCGGGACTTTTAAGAGGGAGTCACTGCTGCCGTCAGCCAGTAATGCTTCCTCCTTTTTTGCTTTTAGGTTTTGTCTTGCCTTTTTTTTTTTTTTTTTTTCTTCTTTCTTTCTTTCTTTCTTTCTTTCTTTCTTTCTTTCTTTCTTTCTTTGCCGCTCTCGCTCTCTCGCTCTCTCCCTCTCTCGTTTTCTTTCTCTTTCTCTTTCTCTCTCTCTCTCTCTCTCTCTCTCTGTCTCTCGCTCTCGCCCTCTCTCTCTCTCTCTTTCTCTCTGTCTCTCTCTGTCTCTCTCTCTCTCTCTCTCTCTCTCTCTCTCTCTCTCTCTCTCTCTCTCTCTCCCTCCCCCTCCCTCCCTCTCTCCCCTTCCTTGGTGCCTTCTCGGCTCTTGACACTTAGCCGCTGTCTCGCCGTGTCCCGGGTCGACCGGCGGGCCTTCTCCACCGAGCGGCGTGTAAGAGTGCCCGTCGGGACGAGCCGGACCCGCCGCGTCCCCGTCTCGGTCGGCACCTCCGGGGTCGACCAGCTGCCGCCCGCGAGCTCCGGACTTAGCTGGCGTCTGCACGTGTCCCGGGTCGACCAGCAGGCGGCCGCCGGACGCTGCGGCGCACCGACGCGAGGGCGTCGATTCCGGTTCACGCGCCGGCGACCTCCACCGGCCTCGGCCCGCGGTGGAGCTGGGACCACGCGGAACTCCCTCTTCTACATTTTTTTCAGCCCCACCGCGAGTTTGCGTCCGCGGGACTTTTAAGAGGGAGTCACTGCTGCCGTCAGCCAGTAATGCTTCCTCCTTTTTTGCTTTTAGGTTTTGTCTTGCCTTTTTTTTTTTTTTTTTTTTTTCTTTCTTTCTTTCTTTCTTTCTTTCTTTCTTTCTTTCTTTCTTTCTTTCTCGCTCTCGCTCTCTCGCTCTCTCCCTCGCTCGTTTTCTTTCTCTTTCTCTTTCTCTCTCTCTCTCTCTCTCTCTCTCTGTCTCTCGCTCTCGCCCTCTCTCTCTCTCTCTTTCTCTCTGTCTCTCTCTGTCTCTCTCTCTCTCTCTCTCTCTCTCTCTCTCTCTCTCTCTCTCTCTCTCTCTCCCTCCCCCTCCCTCCCTCTCTCCCCTTCCTTGGTGCCTTCTCGGCTCTTGACACTTAGCCGCTGTCTCGCCGTGTCCCGGGTCGACCGGCGGGCCTTCTCCACCGAGCGGCGTGTAAGAGTGCCCGTCGGGACGAGCCGGACCCGCCGCGTCCCCGTCTCGGTCGGCACCTCCGGGGTCGACCAGCTGCCGCCCGCGAGCTCCGGACTTAGCTGGCGTCTGCACGTGTCCCGGGTCGACCAGCAGGCGGCCGCCGGACGCTGCGGCGCACCGACGCGAGGGCGTCGATTCCGGTTCACGCGCCGGCGACCTCCACCGGCCTCGGCCCGCGGTGGAGCTGGGACCACGCGGAACTCCCTCTTCTACATTTTTTTCAGCCCCACTGCGAGTTTGCGTCCGCGGGACTTTTAAGAGGGAGTCACTGCTGCCGTCAGCCAGTAATGCTTCCTCCTTTTTTGCTTTTTGGTTTTGCCTTGCGTTTTCTTTCTTTCTTTCTTTCTTTCTTTCTTTCTTTCTTTTCTTTCTTTCTTTCTTTCTTTCTTTCTTTCTCTCTCTCTCTCTCTCTCTCTGTCTCTCTCCCCTCCCTCCCTCCTTGGTGCCTTCTCGGCTCGCTGCTGCTGCTGCCTCTGCCTCCACGGTTCAAGCAAACAGCAAGTTTTCTATTTCGAGTAAAGACGTAATTTCACCATTTTGGCCGGGCTGGTCTCGAACTCCCGACCTAGTGATCCGCCCGCCTCGGCCTCCCAAAGACTGCTGGGAGTACAGATGTGAGCCACCATGCCCGGCCGATTCCTTCCTTTTTTCAATCTTATTTTCTGAACGCTGCCGTGTATGAACATACATCTACACATACACACACACACACACACACACACACACACACACACACACACACACACACACACACCCCCCGTAGTGATAAAACTATGTAAATGATATTTCCATAATTAATACGTTTATATTATGTTACTTTTAATGGATGAATATGTATCGAAGCCCCATTTCATTTACATACACGTGTATGTATATCCTTCCTCCCTTCCTTCATTCATTATTTATTAATAATTTTCGTTTATTTATTTTCTTTTCTTTTGGGGCCGGCCCGCCTGGTCTTCTGTCTCTGCGCTCTGGTGACCTCAGCCTCCCAAATAGCTGGGACTACAGGGATCTCTTAAGCCCGGGAGGGAGAGGTTAACGTGGGCTGTGATCGCACACTTCCACTCCAGCTTACGTGGGCTGCGGTGGGGTGGGGTGCAGAGAAAACGATTGATTGCGATCTCAATTGCCTTTTAGCTTCATTCATACCCTGTTATTTGCTCGTTTATTCTCATGGGTTCTTCTGTGTCATTGTCACGTTCATCGTTTGCTTGCCTGCTTGCCTGTTTATTTCCTTCCTTCCTTCCTTCCTTCCTTCCTTCCTTCCTTCCCTCCTTCCTTCCTTCCTTCCCTCCCTTACTGGCAGGGTCTTCCTCTGTCTCTGCCGCCCAGGATCACCCCAACCTCAACGCTTTGGACCGACCAAACGGTCGTTCTGCCTCTGATCCCTCCCATCCCCATTACCTGAGACTACAGGCGCGCACCACCACACCGGCTGACTTTTATGTTGTTTCTCATGTTTTCCGTAGGTAGGTATGTGTGTGTGTGTGTGTGTGTGTGTGTGTGTGTGTGTGTGTGTGTGTGTATCTATGTATGTATGTATGTATGTGAGTGAGATGGGTTTCGGGGTTCTATCATGTTGCCCACGCTGGTCTCGAACTCCTGTCCTCAAGCAATCCGCCTGCCTGCCTCGGCCGCCCACACTGCTGCTATTACAGGCGTGAGACGCTGCGCCTGGCTCCTTCTACATTTGCCTGCCTGCCTGCCTGCCTGCCTGCCTGCCTGCCTGCCTGCCTGCCTATCAATCGTCTTCTTTTTAGTACGGATGTGCTCTCGCTTTATTGTCCATGCTCTGGGCACACGTGGTCTCTTTTCAAACTTCTATGATTATTATTATTGTAGGCGTCATCTCACGTGTCGAGGTGATCTCGAACTTTTAGGCTCCAGAGATCCTCCCGCATCGGCCTCCCGGAGTGCTGTGATGACACGCGTGGGCACGGTACGCTCTGGTCGTGTTTGTCGTGGGTCGGTTCTTTCCGTTTTTAATACGGGGACTGCGAACGAAGAAAATTTCCAGACGCATCTCACCGATCCGCCTTTTCGTTCTTTCTTTTTATTCTCTTTAGACGGAGTTTCACTCTTGTCGCCCAGGGTGGAGTACGATGGCGGCTCTCGGCTCACCGCACCCTCCGCCTCCCAGGTTCAAGTGATTCTCCTGCCTCAGCCTTCCCGAGTAGCTGGAATGACAGAGATGAGCCATCGTGCCCGGCTAATTTTTCTATTTTTACTACAGATGGGGTTTCTCCATCTTGGTCAGGCTGGTCTTCAACTTCCGACCGTTGGAGAATCTTAACTTTCTTGGTGGTGGTTGTTTTCCTTTTTCTTTTTTTTCTTTTCTTTTCTTTCCTTCTCCTCCCCCCCCACCCCCCCTTGTCGTCGTCCTCCTCCTCCTCCTCCTCCTCCTCCTCCTCCTCCTCCTCCTCCTCCTCTTTCATTTCTTTCAGCTGGGCTCTCCTACGTGTGTTGCTCTGTTGCTCACGCTGGTCTCAAACTCCTGGCCTTGACGCTTCTCCCGTCACATCCGCCGTCTGGTTGTTGAAATGAGCATCTCTCGTAAAATGGAAAAGATGAAAGAAATAAACACGAAGACGGAAAGCACGGTGTGAACGTTTCTCTTGCCGTCTCCCGGGGTGTACCTTGGACCCGGAAACACGGAGGGAGCTTGGCTGAGTGGGTTTTCGGTGCCGAAACCTCCCGAGGGCCTCCTTCCCTCTCCCCCTTGTCCCCGCTTCTCCCCCAGCCGAGGCTCCCACCGCCGCCCTGGCATTTTCCATAGGAGAGGTATGGGAGAGGACTGACACGCCTTCCAGATCTATATCCTGCCGGACGTCTCTGGCTCGGCGTGCCCCACCGGCTACCTGCCACCTTCCAGGGAGCTCTGAGGCGGATGCGACCCCCACCCCCCCGTCACGTCCCGCTACCCTCCCCCGGCTGGCCTTTGCCGGGCGACCCCAGGGGAACCGCGTTGATGCTGCCTTCGGATCCTCCGGCGAAGACTTCCACCGGATGCCCCGGGTGGGCCGGTTGGGATCAGACTGGACCACCCCGGACCGTGCTGTTCTTGGGGGTGGGTTGACGTACAGGGTGGACTGGCAGCCCCAGCATTGTAAAGGGTGCGTGGGTATGGAAATGTCACCTAGGATGCCCTCCTTCCCTTCGGTCTGCCTTCAGCTGCCTCAGGCGTGAAGACAACTTCCCATCGGAACCTCTTCTCTTCCCTTTCTCCAGCACACAGATGAGACGCACGAGAGGGAGAAACAGCTCAATAGATACCGCTGACCTTCATTTGTGGAATCCTCAGTCATCGACACACAAGACAGGTGACTAGGCAGGGACACAGATCAAACACTATTTCCGGGTCCTCGTGGTGGGATTGGTCTCTCTCTCTCTCTCTCTCTCTCTCTCTCTCGCACGCGCACGCGCGCACACACACACACAATTTCCATATCTAGTTCACAGAGCACACTCACTTCCCCTTTTCACAGTACGCAGGCTGAGTAAAACCCGCCCCACCCTCCACCCGTTGGCTGACGAAACCCCTTCTCTACAATTGATGAAAAAGATGATCTGGGCCGGGCACGCTAGCTCACGCCTGTCACTCCGGCACTTTGGGAGGCCGAGGCGGGTGGATCGCTTGGGGCCGGGAGTTCGAGACCAGGCTGGCCGACGTGGCGAAACCCCGTCTCTCTGAAAAATAGAACGATTAGCCGGGCCTGGTGGCGTGGGCTTGGAATCACGACCGCTCGGGAGACTGGGGCGGGCGACTTGTTCCAACCGGGGAGGCCGAGGTTGCGATGAGCTGAGATCGTGCCGTGGCGATGCGGCCTGGATGACGGAGCGAGACCCCGTCTCGAGAGAATCATGATGTTATTATAAGATGAGTTGTGCGCGGTGATGGCCGCCTGTAGTCGCGGCTACTCGGGAGGCTGAGACGAGGAGAAGATCACTTGAGGCCCCACAGGTCGAGGCTTCGGTCGGCCGTGACCCACTGTATCCTGGGCAGTCACCGGTCAAGGAGATATGCCCCTTCCCCGTTTGCTTTTCTTTTCTTCCCTTCTCTTTTCTTCTTTTTGCTTCTCTTTTCTTTCTTTCTTTCTTTCTTTCTTTCTTTCTTTTTCTTTTTCTCTCTTCCCCTCTTTCTTTCCTGCCTTCCTGCCTTTCTTCTTTTCTTCTTTCCTCCCTTCCTCCCTTCCTTCTTTCCTCCCGCCTCAGCCTCCCAAAGTGCTGGGATGACTGGCGGGAGGCACCATGCCTGCTTGGCCCAAAGAGACCCTCTTGGAAAGTGAGACGCAGAGAGCGCCTTCCAGTGATCTCATTGACTGATTTAGAGACGGCATCTCGCTCCGTCACCCCGGCAGTGGTGCCGTCGTAACTCACTCCCTGCAGCGTGGACGCTCCTGGACTCGAGCGATCCTTCCACCTCAGCCTCCAGAGTACAGAGCCTGGGACCGCGGGCACGCGCCACTGTGCCCACACCGTTTTTAATTGTTTTTTTTTCCCCCGAGACAGAGTTTCACTCTCGTGGCCTAGACTGCAGTGCGGTGGCGCGATCTTGGCTCACCGCAACCTCTGCCTCCCGGTTTCAAGCGATTCTCCTGCATCGGCCTCCTGAGTAGCCGGGATTGCGGGCATGCGCTGCCACGTCTGGCTGATTTCGTATTTTTAGTGGAGACGGGGCTTCTCCATGTCGATCGGGCTGGTTTCGAACTCCCGACCTCAGGTGATCCGCCCTCCCCGGCCTCCGGAAGTGCTGGGATGACAGGCGTGAGCCACCGCGCCCGGCCTTCATTTTTAAATGTTTTCCCACAGACGGGGTCTCATCATTTCTTTGCAACCCTCCTGCCCGGCGTCTCAAAGTGCTGGCGTGACGGGCGTGAGCCACTGCGCCTGGACTCCGGGGAATGACTCACGACCACCATCGCTCTACTGATCCTTTCTTTCTTTCTTTCTTTCTTTCTTTCTTTCTTTCTTTCTTGATGAATTATCTTATGATTTATTTGTGTACTTATTTTCAGACGGAGTCTCGCTCTGGGCGGGGCGAGGCGAGGCGAGGCACAGCGCATCGCTTTGGAAGCCGCGGCAACGCCTTTCAAAGCCCCATTCGTATGCACAGAGCCTTATTCCCTTCCTGGAGTTGGAGCTGATGCCTTCCGTAGCCTTGGGCTTCTCTCCATTCGGAAGCTTTGACAGGCGCAACCCCACCCAGAGGCTGGCTGCGGCTGAGGATTAGGGGGTGTGTTGGGGCTGAAAACTGGGTCCCCTATTTTTGATACCTCAGCCGACACATCCCCCGACCGCCATCGCTTGCTCGCCCTCTGAGATCCCCCGCCTCCACCGCCTTGCAGGCTCACCTCTTACTTTCATTTCTTCCTTTCTTGCGTTTGAGGAGGGGGTGCGGGAATGAGGGTGTGTGTGGGGAGGGGGTGCGGGGTGGGGACGGAGGGGAGCGTCCTAAGGGTCGATTTAGTGTCATGCCTCTTTCACCACCACCACCACCACCGAAGATGACAGCAAGGATCGGCTAAATACCGCGTGTTCTCATCTAGAAGTGGGAACTTACAGATGACAGTTCTTGCATGGGCAGAACGAGGGGGACCGGGGACGCGGAAGTCTGCTTGAGGGAGGAGGGGTGGAAGGAGAGACAGCTTCAGGAAGAAAACAAAACACGAATACTGTCGGACACAGCACTGACTACCCGGGTGATGAAATCATCTGCACACTGAACACCCCCGTCACAAGTTTACCTATGTCACAATCTTGCACATGTATGCTTGAACGACAAATAAAAGTTAGGGGGGAGAAGAGAGGAGAGAGAGAGAGAGAGAGAGACAGAGAGAGACAGAGAGAGAGAGAGAGGAGGGAGAGAGAAAACGAAACACCACCTCCTTGACCTGAGTCAGGGGGTTTCTGGCCTTTTGGGAGAACGTTCAGCGACAATGCAGTATTTGGGCCCGTTCTTTTTTTTTCTTCTTCTTTTCTTTCTTTTTTTTTGGACTGAGTCTCTCTCGCTCTGTCACCCAGGCTGCGGTGCGGTGGCGCTCTCTCGGCTCACTGAAACCTCTGCTTCCCGGGTTCCAGTGATTCTTCTTCGGTAGCTGGGATTACAGGCGCACACCATGACGGCCGGCTCATATTCCTATTTTCAGTAGAGACGGGGTTTCTCCACGTTGGCCACGCTGGTCTCGAACTCCTGACCTCAAATGATCCGCCTTCCTGGGCCTCCCAAAGTGCTGGAAACGACAGGCCTGAGCCGCCGGGATTTCAGCCTTTAAAAGCGCGGGCCCTGCCACCTTTCGCTGTGGCCCTTACGCTCAGAATGACGTGTCCTCTCTGCCGTAGGTTGACTCCTTGAGTCCCCTAGGCCATTGCACTGTAGCCTGGGCAGCAAGAGCCAAACTCCGTCCCCCCACCTCCCCGCGCACATAATAACTAACTAACAAACTAACTAACTAACTAAACTAACTAAATAAATAAAATCTCTACACGTCACCTCTAAGTGTGTGTTCCCGTGAGGAGTGATTTCTAAGAAATGGCACTGTACACTGAACGCAGTGGCTCACGTCTGTCATCCCGAGGTCAGGAGTTCGAGACCAGCCCGGCCAACGTGGTGAAACCCCCGTCTCTACTGAAAATACGAAATGGAGTCAGGCGCCGTGGGGCAGGCACCTGTAACCCCAGCTACTCGGGAGGCTGGGGTGGAAGAATTGCTTGAACCTGGCAGGCGGAGGCTGCAGTGACCCAAGATCGCACCACTGCACTACAGCCTGGGCGACAGAGTGAGACCCGGTCTCCAGATAAATACGTACATAAATAAATACACACATACATACATACATACATACATACATACATACATACATACATCCATGCATACAGATATACAAGAAAGAAAAAAAGAAAAGAAAAGAAAGAGAAAATGAAAGAAAAGGCACTGTATTGCTACTGGGCTAGGGCCTTCTCTCTGTCTGTTTCTCTCTGTTCGTCTCTGTCTTTCTCTCTGTGTCTCTTTCTCTGTCTGTCTGTCTCTTTCTTTCTCTCTGTCTCTGTCTCTGTCTTTGTCTCTCTCTCTCCCTCTCTGCCTGTCTCACTGTGTCTGTCTTCTGTCTTACTCTCTTTCTCTCCCCGTCTGTCTCTCTCTCTCTCTCTCCCTCCCTGTTTGTTTCTCTCTCTCCCTCCCTGTCTGTTTCTCTCTCTCTCTTTCTGTCTGTTTCTGTCTCTCTCTGTCTGTCTATGTCTTTCTCTGTCTGTCTCTTTCTCTGTCTGTCTGCCTCTCTCTTTCTTTTTCTGTGTCTCTCTGTCGGTCTCTCTCTCTCTGTCTGTCTGTCTGTCTCTCTCTCTCTCTCTCTGTGCCTATCTTCTGTCTTACTCTCTTTCTCTGCCTGTCTGTCTGTCTCTCCCTCCCTTTCTGTTTCTCTCTCTCTCTCTCTCTCTCTCCCCCTCTCCCTGTCTGTTTCTCTCCGTCTCTCTCTCTTTCTGTCTGTTTCTCACTGTCTCTCTCTGTCCATCTCTCTCTCTCTCTGTCTGTCTCTTTCGTTCTCTCTGTCTGTCTGTCTCTCTCTCTCTCTCTCTCTCTCTCTCTCTTTCTGTCTCTCACTCTCTGTGTGTATCTTCTGTCTTACTCTCCTTCTCTGCCTGTCCGTCTGTCTGTCTGTCTGTCTGTCTCTCTCTCCCTTTCTGTCTCTCTCTCTCTCTGTCCCTCTCTCTTTCTGTCTGTTCCTCTCTCTCTCTCTGTCTCTGTCTTTCTCTGTCTGTCTGCCTCTCTCTTTCTTTCTCTTTCTGTGTCTCTCTGTCTCTCTCTCTGTGCCTATCTTCTGTCTTACTCTCTTTCTCTGCCTGCCTGCCTGTCTGTCTGTCTGTCTCTCTCTGTCTCTCTCCCTGCCTTTCTGTTTCTCTCTCTCTCTCCCTCTCTCTCTCCCTCTCTCGCTCTCTCTGTCTTTCTCTCTTTCTCTCTGTTTCTCTGTCTCTCTCTGTCCGTCTCTGTCTTTTTCTGTCTGTCTCTCTCTTTCTTTCTGTCTGTCTCTGTCTCTGTCTCTCTCTCTCTCTCTGCTTGTCTCTCTCACTGTGTCTGTCCTCTGTCTTACTCTCCTTCTCTGCCTGTCCGTCTGTCTGTCTGTCTCTCTCTCTCTCCCTCCCTTTCTGTTTCTCTCTCGCTCTCTCTCTCTCTCTCTCTCTCTCTCTGCCTGTTTCTCTTTCTCTCTCTGTCTGTCTCTGTCTTTCTCTGTCTGTCTCTTTCTCTGTCTGTCTGTCTCCTTCTCTCTGTCTCCGTCTCTGTCTCTCTCTCTCTGTCTCTCTCTCTCTGCCTGTCTCACTGTGTCTGTCTTCTGTCTTATTCTCTTTCTCTGTCTGTCTGTCTCTCTCTCTCCCTTCCTGTCTCTTTCTCTCTCTCTCTCTCTCTCTTTCTGTCTGTTTCTCTCTGCCTGTCTCCGTCTTTCTCTGTCTGCCTCTCTCTTTCTTTTTCTGCGTCTCTCTGTCTCTCTCTCTCTGTGCCTATCTTCTGTCTTACTCTGTTTCTCTGCCTGCCTGTCTGTCTGTCTGTCTCTCTCTCTCTCTGTCTCTCTCTCTTTCTGTCTGTTTCTCTCTGTCTCTCTGTCCATCTCTGTCTTTCTCTGTCCGTCTCTCTCTTTCTCCCTGTCTCTGTCTCTGCCTCTGCCTCTCTCTCTCTCTGTCTCTCTCTTTCTATCTGTTTCTCTCTGTCTCTCTGTCCATCTCTGTCTTTCTCTGTCTGTCTCTCTCTTTCTCCCTGTCTCTGTCTCTGCCTCTCTCTCTCTCTCTCTGTCTGTCTCTCTCACTGTGTGTGTGTCTCTGTCTCTGCCTCTCTCTCTCTCTCTCTCTCTGTCTGTCTCTCTCACTGTGTGTGTCTGTCTTCTGTCTTACTCTCCTTCTCTGCCTGTCCGTCTGTCTGTCTGTCTCTCCCTCTCTCTCCCTCCCTTTCTGTTTCTCTCTCTCTCTCTCTCTCTTTCTGTCTGTTTCTCTCTTTCTCTCTCTGTCTGTCTCTTTCTCTGTCTGTCTGTCTCTCTCTTTCTTTTTCTCTGTCTCTCTGTCTCTCTCTGTGCCTGTCTCTCTGTCTGTGCCTATCTTCTGTCTTACTCTCTTTCTCTGGCTGACTGCCTGTCTCTCTCTCTCTCTCTCTCTCTCTCTCTCTCTGCCTGTCTCCGTCCCTCCCTCCCTGTCTGTCTGTTTCTCTCTCTGTCCATTTCTGTCTGTCTCTTTCTCTTTCTCTCTCTTTCTTTCTCTCTGTCTCTCTCTGTCTCTCTCTGTCTCTCTCTCTCTCTCTCTCTCTCTCTCTCTCTCTCTCTCTCTCTGCCTTTCTCTCTCACTGTGTCGGTCTTCTGTCTTACTCTCTTTCTCTGCCTGCCTCTCTGTCTGTCTGTCTGTCTCTCTCCCTCCATGTCTCTCTCTCTCTCTCTCTCACTCACTGTCTCTCCGTCTCTCTCTCTTTCTGTCTGTTTCTCTCTGTCTCTGTCTTTCTGTGTGTCTGTCTGTCTCTCTCTCTATTTGTCTTTCTCCCTCCCTGTCTGTTTCTCTCTCTCTCTCTCTCTCTCTCTCTCTCCCTGTCTGTCTGTTTCTCTCTATCTCTCGCTGTCCATCTCTGTCTTTCTATGTCTGTCTCTTTCTCTGTCAGTCTGTCAGACACCCCCGTGCCGGGTAGGGCCCTGCCCCTTCCACGAAAGTGAGAAGCGCGTGCTTCGGTGCTTAGAGAGGCCGAGAGGAATCTAGACAGGCGGGCCTTGCTGGGCTTCCCCACTCGGTGTATGATTTCGGGAGGTCGAGGCCGGGTCCCCGCTTGGATGCGAGGGGCATTTTCAGACTTTTCTCTCGGTCACGTGTGGCGTCCGTACTTCTCCTATTTCCCCGATAAGCTCCTCGACTTCAACATAAACGGCGTCCTAAGGGTCGATTTAGTGTCATGCCTCTTTCACCGCCACCACCGAAGATGAAAGCAAAGATCGGCTAAATACCGCGTGTTCTCATCTAGAAGTGGGAACTTACAGATGACAGTTCTTGCATGGGCAGAACGAGGGGGACCGGGGACGCGGAAGCCTGCTTGAGGGAGGAGGGGTGGAAGGAGAGACAGCTTCAGGAAGAAAACAAAACACGAATACTGTCGGACACAGCACTGACTACCCGGGTGATGAAATCATCTGCACACTGAACACCCCCGTCACAAGTTTACCTATGTCACAGTCTTGCTCATGTATGCTTGAACGACAAATAAAAGTTCGGGGGGGAGAAGAGAGGAGAGAGAGAGAGAGACGGGGAGAGAGGGGGGAGAGGGGGGGGGAGAGAGAGAGAGAGAGAGAGAGAGAGAGAGAGAGAGAGAGAGAGAGAAAGAGAAGTAAAACCAACCACCACCTCCTTGACCTGAGTCAGGGGGTTTCTGGCCTTTTGGGAGAACGTTCAGCGACAATGCAGTATTTGGGCCCGTTCTTTTTTTCTTCTTCTTCTTTTCTTTCTTTTTTTTTGGACTGAGTCTCTCTCGCTCTGTCACCCAGGCTGCGGTGCGGTGGCGCTCTCTCGGCTCACTGAAACCTCTGCTTCCCGGGTTCCAGTGATTCTTCTTCGGTAGCTGGGATTACAGGTGCGCACCATGACGGCCGGCTCATCGTTCTATTTTTAGTAGAGACGGGGTTTCTCCACGTTGGCCACGCTGGTCTCGAACTCCTGACCACAAATGATCCACCTTCCTGGGCCTCCCAAAGTGCTGGAAACGACAGGCCTGAGCCGCCGGGATTTCAGCCTTTAAAAGCGCGGGCCCTGCCACCTTTCGCTGCGGCCCTTACGCTCAGAATGACGTGTCCTCTCTGCCATAGGTTGACTCCTTGAGTCCCCTAGGCCATTGCACTGTAGCCTGGGCAGCAAGAGCCAAACTCCGTCCCCCCACCTCCCCGCGCACATAATAACTAACTAACTAACTAACTAACTAAAATCTCTACACGTCACCCATAAGTGTGTGTTCCCGTGAGGAGTGATTTCTAAGAAATGGTACTGTACACTGAACGCAGTGGCTCACGTCTGTCATCCCGAGGTCAGGAGTTCGAGACCAGCCCGGCCAACGTGGTGAAACCCCCGTCTCTACTGAAAATACGAAATGGAGTCAGGCGCCGTGGGGCAGGCACCTGTAACCCCAGCTACTCGGGAGGCTGGGGTGGAAGAATTGCTTGAACCTGGCAGGCGGAGGCTGCAGTGACCCAAGATCGCACCACTGCACTACAGCCTGGGCGACAGAGTGAGACCCGGTCTCCAGATAAATACGTACATAAATAAATACACACATACATACATACATACATACATACATACATACATACATACAGATATACAAGAAAGAAAAAAAGAAAAGAAAAGAAAGAGAAAATGAAAGAAAAGGCACTGTATTGCTACTGGGCTAGGGCCTTCTCTCTGTCTGTTTCTCTCTGTTCGTCTCTGTCTTTCTCTCTGTGTCTCTTTCTCTGTCTGTCTGTCTGTCTGTCTGTCTCTTTCTTTCTTTCTGTCTCTGTCTTTGTCCCTCTCTCTCCCTCTCTGCCTGTCTCACTGTGTCTGTCTTCTATCTTACTCTCTTTCTCTCCCCGTCTGTCTCTCTCTCACTCCCTCCCTGTCTGTTTCTCTCTCTCTCTCTTTCTGTCTGTTTCTGTCTCTCTCTGTCTGCCTCTCTCTTTCTCTATCTGTCTCTTTCTCTGTCTGTCTGCCCCTCTCTTTCTTTTTCTGTGTCTCTCTGTCTGTCTCTCTCTCTCTCTGTGCCTATCTTCTGTCTTACTCTCTTTCTCTGCCTGTCTGTCTGTCTCTCTCTGTCTCTCCCTCCCTTTCTGCTTCTCTCTCTCTCTCTCTCTCTCCCCCCTCCCTGTCTGTTTCTCTCTGTCTCCCTCTCTTTCTGTCTGTTTCTCACTGTCTCTCTCTGTCTGTCTGTTTCATTCTCTCTGTCTCTGTCTCTGTCTCTCTCTCTCTCTGTCTCTCCCTCTCTGTGTGTATCTTTTGTCTTACTCTCCTTCTCTGCCTGTCCGTCTGTCTGTCTGTCTCTCTCTCTCCCTGTCCCTCTCTCTTTCTGTCTGTTTCTCTCTCTCTCTCTCTCTCTCTCTCTCTGTCTCTGTCTTTCTCTGTCTGTCCCTTTCTCTGTCTGTCTGCCTCTCTCTTTCTCTTTCTGTGTCTCTCTGTCTCTCTCTCTGTGCCTATCTTCTGTCTTACTCTCTTTCTCTGCCTGTCTATCTGTCTGTCTCTCTCTGTCTCTCTCCCTGCCTTTCTGTTTCTCTCTCTCTCCCTCTCTCGCTCTCTCTGTCTTTCTCTCTTTCTCTCTGTTTCTCTGTCTCTCTCTGTCCGTCTCTGTCTTTTTCTGTCTGTCTGTCTCTCTCTTTCTTTCTGTCGTCTGTCTCTGTCTCTGTCTCTGTCTCTCTCTCTCTCTCTCTCCTTGTCTCTCTCACTGTGTCTGTCTTCTGTCTTACTCTCCTTCTCTGCCTGTCCATCTGTCTGTCTGTCTCTCTCTCTCTCTCCCTACCTTTCTGTTTCTCTCTCGCTAGCTCTCTCTCTCTCTGCCTGTTTCTCTCTTTCTCTCTCTGTCTTTCTCTGTCTGTCTCTTTCTCTGTCTGTCTGTCTCTTTCTCTCTGTCTCTGTCTCTGTCTCTCTCTCTCTCTCTCTCTCTCTGCCTCTCTCACTGTGTCTGTCTTCTGTCTTATTCTCTTTCTCTCTCTGTCTCTCTCTCTCTCTCCTTTCCTGTCTGTTTTTCTCTCTCTCTCTCTCTTTCTGCCTGTTTCTCTCTGTCTGTCTCTGTCTTTCTCTGTCTGTCTGCCTCTCTCTTTCTTTTTCTGCGTCTCTCTGTCTCTCTCTCTCTCTCTCTGTTCCTATCTTCTGTCTTACTCTGTTTCCTTGCCTGCCTGCCTGTCTGTGTGTCTGTCTCTCTCTCTCTCTCTCTCTCTCTCTCTCCCTCCCTTTCTCTTTCTCTGTCTCTCTCTCTCTTTCTGGGTGTTTCTCTCTGTCTCTCTGTCCATCTCTGTCTTTCTATGTCTGTCTCTCTCTTTCTCTCTGTCTCTGTCTCTGCCTCTCTCTCTCTCTCTCTCTCTCTCTCTCTCTCTCTCTGTCTGTCTCTCTCACTGTGTGTGTCTGTCTTCTGTCTTACTCTCCTTCTCTGCCTGTCCGTCTGTCTGTCTGTCTCTCCCTCTCTCTCCCTCCCTTTCTGTTTCTCTCTCTCTCTCTTTCTGTCTGTTTCTCTCTTTCTCTCTCTGTCTGTCTCTTTCTCTGTCTGTCTGTCTCTCTCTTTCTTTTTCTCTGTCTCTCTGTCTCTCTCTGTGTCTGTCTCTCTTTCTGTGCCTATCTTCTGTCTTACTCTCTTTCTCTGGCTGTCTGCCTGTCTCTCTCTCTCTGCCTGTCTCCGTCCCTCCCTCCCTGTCTGTCTGTTTCTCTCTCTGTCTCTGTCTCTCTGTCCATCTCTGTCTGTCTCTTTCTCTTTCTCTCTCTCTGTCTCTGTCTCTCTCTCTCTCTGCCTGTCTCTCTCACTGTGTCTGTCTTCTGTCTTACTCTCTTTCTCTGCCTGCCTCTCTGTCTGTCTGTCTCTCTCCCTCCATGTCTCTCTCTCTCTCTCACTCACTCTCTCTCCGTCTCTCTCTCTTTCTGTCTGTTTCTCTCTCTGTCTGTCTCTCTCCCTCCATGTCTCTCTCTCTCTCTCTCACTCACTCTCTCTCCGTCTCTCTCTCTCTTTCTGTCTGTTTCTCTCTCTGTCTGTCTCTCTCCCTCCATGTCTCTCTCTCTCCCTCTCACTCACTCTCTCTCCGTCTCTCTCTCTCTTTCTGTCTGTTTCTCTGTCTGTCTGTCTGTCTGTCTGTCTCTCTCTCTCTCTCTCTCTCTCTCTCTCTCTCTGTTTGTCTTTCTCCCTCCCTGTCTGTCTGTCTGTCTCTCTCTCTCTGTCTCTGTCTCTGTCTCTCTCTCTTTCTCTTTCTGTCTGTTTCTCTCTATCTCTCGCTGTCCATCTCTGTCTTTCTATGTCTGTCTCTTTCTCTGTCAGTCTGTCAGACACCCCCGTGCCGGGTAGGGCCCTGCCCCTTCCACGAGAGTGAGAAGCGCGTGCTTCGGTGCTTAGAGAGGCCGAGAGGAATCTAGACAGGCGGGCCTTGCTGGGCTTCCCCACTCGGTGTACGATTTCGGGAGGTCGAGGCCGGGTCCCCGCTTGGATGCGAGGGGCATTTTCAGACTTTTCTCTCGGTCACGTGTGGCGTCCGTACTTCTCCTATTTCCCCGATAAGCTCCTCGACTTCAACATAAACTGTTAAGGCCGGACGCAACACGGCGAAACCCCGTCTCTACTAAAAATACAAAGCTGAGTCGGGAGCGGTGGGGCAGGCCCCTGTAATGCCAGCTCCTCGGGAGGCTGAGGCGGGAGAATCGCTTGAACCAGGGAAGCGGAGGCTGCAGGGAGCCGAGATCGCGCCACTGCACTACGGCCCAGGCTGTAGAGTGAGTGAGACTCGGTCTCTAAATAAATACGGAAATTAATTAATTCATTAATTCTTTTCCCTGCTGACGGACATTTGCAGGCAGGCATCGGTTGTCTTCGGGCATCACCTAGCGGCCACTGTTATTGAAAGTCGACGTGACACGGAGGGAGGTCTCGCCGACTTCACCGAGCCTGGGGCAACGGGTTTCTCTCTCTCCCTTCTGGAGGCCCCTCCCTCTCTCCCTCGTTGCCTAGGGAACCTCGCCTAGGGAACCTCCGCCCTGGCGGGGGCCCTATTGTTCTTTGATCGGCGCTTTACTTTTCTTTGTGTTTTGGCGCCTAGACTCTTCTACTTGGGCTTTGGGAAGGGTCAGTTTAATTTTCAAGTTGCCCCCCGGCTCCCCCCACTACCCACGTCCCTTCACCTTAATTTAGTGAGTCGGTTAGGTGGGTTTCCCCCAAACCGCCCCCCCCCCCCCGCCTCCCAACACCCTGCTTGGAAACCTTCCAGAGCCACCCCGGTGTGCCTCCGTCTTCTCTCCCCTTCCCCCACCCCTTGCCGGCGATCTCATTCTTGCCAGGCTGACATTTGCATCGGTGGGCGTCAGGCCTCACTCGGGGGCCACCGTTTTTGAAGATGGGGGCGGCACGGTCCCACTTCCCCGGAGGCAGCTTGGGCCGATGGCATAGCCCCTTGACCCGCGTGGGCAAGCGGGCGGGTCTGCAGTTGTGAGGCTTTTCCCCCCGCTGCTTCCCGCCTCAGGCCTCCCTCCCTAGGAAAGCTTCACCCTGGCTGGGTCTCGGTCACCTTTTATCACGATGTTTTAGTTTCTCCGCCCTCCGGCCAGCAGAGTTTCACAATGCGAAGGGCGCCACGGCTCTAGTCTGGGCCTTCTCAGTACTTGCCCAAAATAGAAACGCTTTCTGAAAACTAATAACTTTGCTCACTTAAGATTTCCAGGGACGGCGCCTTGGCCCGTGTTTGTTGGCTTGTTTTGTTTCGTTCTGTTTTGTTTTGTTCGTGTTTTTCCTTTCTCGTATGTCTTTCTTTTCAGGTGAAGTAGAAATCCCCAGTTTTCAGGAAGACGTCTATTTTCCCCAAGACACGTTAGCTGCCGTTTTTTCCTGTTGTGAACTAGCGCTTTTGTGACTCTCTCAACGTGCAGTGAGAGCCGGTTGATGTTTACTATCCTTCATCATGACATCTTATTTTCTAGAAATCCGTAGGCGAATGCTGCTGCTGCTCTTGTTGCTGTTGTTGTTGTTGTTGTTGTCGTCGTTGCTGTTGTCGTTGTCGTTGTTGTTGTCGTTGTCGTTGTTTTCAAAGTATACCCCGGCCACCGTTTATGGGATCAAAAGCATTATAAAATATGTGTGATTATTTCTTGAGCACGCCCTTCCTCCCCCTCTCTCTGTCTCTCTGTCTGTCTCTGTCTCTCTCTTTCTCTGTCTGTCTTCTCTCTCTCTCTCTCTCTGTGTCTCTCTCTCTCTGCCTGTCTGTTTCTCTCTCTCTGCCTCTCTCTCTCTCTCTCTCTCTCTGCCTGTCTCTCTCACTGTGTCTGTCTTCTGTCTTACTCCCTTTCTCTGTCTGTCTGTCGGTCTCTCTCTCTCTCTCTCCCTGTCTGTATGTTTCTCTCTGTCTCTGTCTCTCTCTCTCTTTCTGTTTCTCTCTCTCCGTCTCTGTCTTTCTCTGACTGTCTCTCTCTTTCCTTCTCTCTGTCTCTCTCTGCCTGTCTCTCTCACTCTGTCTTCTGTCTTACTCTCTCTCTCTGCCTGCCTGTCTCTCTCACTCTCTCTCTCTGTGTGTCTCTCTCTCTCTTTCTGTTTCTCTCTGTCTCTCTGTCCGTCTCTGTCTTTCTCTGTCTGTCTCTTTGTCTGTCTGTCTTTGTCTTTCCTTCTCTCTGTCTCTGTCTCTCTCACTGTGTCTGTCTTCTGTCTTAGTCTCTCTCTCTCTCTCTCCCTGTCTGTCTGTCTCTCTCTCTCTCTCCCCCTGTCTGTTTCTCTCTCTCTCTCTCTCTCTCTCTCTCTCTCTGTCTTTGTCTTTCTTTCTGTCTCTGTCTCTCTCTCTCTCTCTGTGTGTCTGTCTTCTGTCTTACTGTCTTTCTCTGCCTGTCTGTCTGTCTGTCTCTCTCTGTCTGTCTCTCTCTCTCTCTCCCCCCGTCGGCTGTTTCTCTGTCTCTGTCTGTGTCTCTCTTTCTGTCTGTTTCTCTCTGTCTGTCTTTCTCTCTCTGTCTCTTTCTCTCTGTCTCTCTGTCTGTCTCTGTCTCTCTCTCTGTCTCTCTCTCTCTGTGGGGGTGTGTGTGTGTGTGTGTGTGTATGTGTGTGTGTGTGTGTGTGTGTGTGTCTGCCTTCTGTCTTACTCTCTTTCTCTGCCTGTCTGTCTGCCTGTCTGTTTGTCTCTCTCTCTCTGCCTGTCTCTCTCCCTTCCTGTCTGTTTCTCTCTCTTTCTGTTTCTCTCTGTCTCTGTCCATCTCTGTCTTTCTCCGTCTGTCTCTTTATCTGTCTCTCTCCGTCTGTCTCTTTATCTGTCTCTCTCTCTCTTTCTGTCTTTCTCTCTCTGTGTATCGTTGTCTCTCTCTGTCTGTCTCTGTCTCTGTCTCTCTGTCTCTCTCTCTCTCTCTCTCTCTCTCTGTCTGTCTGTCCGTCTGTCTGTCTCGGTCTCTGGCTCTCGCTATCTCCCGCCCTCTCTTTTTTTGCAAAAGAAGCTCAAGTACATCTAATCTAATCCCTTACCAAGGCCTGAATTCTTCACTTCTGACATCCCAGATTTGATCTCCCTACAGAATGCTGTACAGAACTGGCGAGTTGATTTCTGGACTTGGATACCTCATAGAAACTACATATGAATAAAGATCCAATCCTAAAATCTGGGGTGGCTTCTCCCTCGACTGTCTCGAAAAATCGTACCTCTGTTCCCCTAGGATGCCGGAAGAGTTTTCTCAATGTGCATCTGCCCGTGTCCTAAGTGATCTGTGACCGAGCCCTGTCCGTCCTGTCTCAAATATGTACGTGCAAACACTTCTCTCCATTTCCACAACTACCCACGGCCCCTTGTGGAACCACTGGCTCTTTGAAAAAAATCCCAGAAGTGGTTTTGGCTTTTTGGCTAGGAGGCCTAAGCCTGCTGAGAACTTTCCTGCCCAGGATCCTGTGTGACCAAAAGTGCCTCTGCTGGGAGCTGGGATCCTCGGGACCATGCTTGCTAGCGCTGGATGAGTCTCTGGAAGGACGCACGGGACTCCGCAAAGCTGACCTGTCCCACCGAGGTCAAATGGATACCTCTGCATTGGCCCGAGGCCTCCGAAGTACATCACCGTCACCAACCGTCACCGTCAGCATCCTTGTGAGCCTGCCCAAGGCCCCGCCTCCGGGGAGACTCTTGGGAGCCCGGCCTTCGTCGGCTAAAGTCCAAAGGGATGGTGACTTCCACCCACAAGGTCCCCACTGAACGGCGAAGATGTGGAGCGTAGGTCAGAGAGGGGACCAGGAGGGGAGACGTCCCGACAGGCGACGAGTTCCCAAGGCTCTGGCCACCCCACCCACGCCCCACGCCCCACGTCCCGGGCACCCGCGGGACACCGCCGCTTTATCCCCTCCTCTGTCCACAGCCGGCCCCACCCCACCACGCAACCCACGCACACACGCTGGAGGTTCCAAAACCACACGGTGTGACTAGAGCCTGACGGAGCGAGAGCCCATTTCACGAGGTGGGAGGGGTGGGGGTGGGGTGGGTTGGGGGTTGTGGGGTCTGTGGCGAGCCCGATTCTCCCTCTTGGGTGGCTACAGGCTAGAAATGAATATCGCTTCTTGGGCGGAGGGGCTTCCTTAGGCCATCACCGCTTGCGGGACTACCTCTCAAACCCTCCCTTGAGGCCACAAAATAGATTCCACCCCACCCATCGACGTTTCCCCCGGGTGCTGGATGTATCCTGTCAAGAGACCTGAGCCTGACACCGTCGAATTAAACACCTTGACTGGCTTTGTGTGTTTGTTTGTTTCTGAGATGGAGTCTTGCTCTGTCCCCCAGGCTGGAGTGCAGTGGCGTGATCTCAGCTCACTGGAACCTCTGCCTCCTGGGTTCAAGTGATTCTCCTGTCTCAGCGCCACCATGGCCGGCTCTTTTTTTTTTTTTTTTTTTTTGGTAGACACGGGGTTTCACCCTCTTTCATTGGTTTTCACTGGAGATTCTAGATTCGAGCCACACCTCATTCCGTGCCACAGAGAGACTTCTTTTTTTTTTTTTTTTTAAGCGCAACGCAACATGTCTGCCTTATTTGAGTGGCTTCCTATATCATTATAATTGTGTTATAGATGAAGAAACGGTATTAAACACTGTGCTAATGATAGTGAAAGTGAAGACAAAAGAAAGGCTATCTATTTTGTGGTTAGAATAAAGTTGCTCAGTATTTAGAGCTACCTAAATACGTCAGCATTTACACTCTTCCTAGTAAAAGCTGGCCAATCTGAATAATCCTCCTTTAAACAAACACAATTTTTGATAGGGTTAAGATTTTTTTAAGAATGCGACTCCTGCAAAATAGCTGAACAGACGATACACATTTAAAAAAATAACAACACAAGGATCAACCAGACTTGGGAAAAAATCGAAAACCACACAAGTCTTATGAAGAACTGAGTTCTTAAAATAGGACGGAGAACGTAGCTATCGGAAGAGAAGGCAGTATTGGCAAGTTGATTGTTACGTTGGTCAGCAGTAGCTGGCACTATCTTTTTGGCCATCTTTCGGGCAATGTAACTACTACAGCAAAATGAGATATGATCCATTAAACAACATATTCGCAAATCAAAAAGTGTTTCAGTAATATAATGCTTCAGATTTAGAAGCAAATCAAATGATAGAACTCCACTGCTGTAATAAGTCACCCCAAAGATCACCGTATCTGACAAAATAACTACCACAGGGTTATGACTTCAGAATCATACTTTCTCTTGATATTTACTTATGTATGTATTTATTTTTTTTAATTTATTTCTCTTGAGACGGCGTCTCGCTCTGTCGCCCAGGCTGGAGTGCGATGGTGTGATCTCGGCTCACTGCAACCGCCACCTCCCTGGGTTCAAGCGATTCTCCTGCCTCAGCCTCCCGAGTAGCTGGGACTACAGGTGCCCGCCACCACGCCCAGCTAATCTTTATACTTTTAATAGAGACGGGGTTTCACCGTGTCGGCCCGGATGGTCTCGATCTCTTGACCTCGTGACCCGCCCGCCTCGGCCTCCCAAAGTGCTGGGATGACAGGCGTGAGCCACTGAGCCCGGCCTTCTCTTGACGTTTAAACTATGAAGTCAGTCCAGAGAAACGCAATAAATGTCAACGGTGAGGATGGTGTTGAGGCAGAAGTAGGACCACACTTTTTCCTATCTTATTCAGTTGATAACAATATGACCTAGGTAGTAATTTCCTATGTGCCTACTTATACACGAGTACAAAAGAGTAAAACAGAGAGACTGCTAAATTAAAGGGTACGTGAAGTTCTTCATAGTAACTCCGTAAACTGGAACACTGTCAAAAAGCAGCAGCTAGTGAATTGTTTCCATGTATTTTTCTATTATCCAATAAGTGAACTATGCTATTCCTTTCCAGTCTCCCAAGCACTTCTTGTCCCCATCACCACTTCGGTGCTCGAAGAAAAAGTAACAAATCAAGGAACACAACTAAAGAAACACACACACAAACCAAAGACAACTACAGCGTCTGCAAAAGTTTGCTAGAAGACTGAAACTGTTGAGTATAAGGATCTGGTATTCTACGATCATGAGTTCACTTCAGAGTTTGTTCAAGACATACGTTTCGTAAGGAAACATCTTAGTTAGAAGTTATTCAGCAGTAGGTACCATCCCTAAGTATTTTTCACCAAATTCGTGACAATAAAGAGCTATCTAACCAGAAAAATTAGCGAGTACCGGCACCATCCATAGGGCTTTGTCTTTACGCTTCATTAGCACTTACCATGCCTTACAATGTCTAGGATTGACCCTGATAGCATTTCGAAAACAAGCTAATGCTTTGTCCAGTTCTTCAGTGAAGACAAGCTCACGCCCTAATGCGCTATAGGCATAAGCATCATTTGGATCCACTTCGAGAGTTCTCTGGAAGAATTGAATCGCAATATCGTGTTCCCGTTGCAGACCGAAACAGTTCCCTGCAGCACACCAGGCCTCTGGCTGGCGAATTTTTATCCATGTCTGTGAAGTCTTTGGACAGAACTGAAAGAGCAACCTCTTTCGGAGGATGCCAAAGTGTTGTAGAGTAGATCTCCATGCCTTCGACTCTGTAATTCTCAATCCTCCTAACCTCTGAGAATTGTCTTTCAGCTTGCGTGGACTCTGAAAGTTTACAATAGGCCCTTCCGATTTGGCACAGTACCCAACCGGTATTGCAGTGGTGAGAAGCTAGATGGCTCAAGATGCTGATAGCTTCTTTGCCGTGGTAAGAACACAAAGCTAAATAACCTTTCCCCCTTTCACGAAGAAGGCTCATCAAGCCTTCCGCTGCTGCTTTTTGTAGATTAAAAGCCTGAATCTGAGGCGCGATTGTGGCTATTTTCCCTTCTGAAATGACGGAAGAGTCCAATTTTGTCACTTCCAGGCTATCACTTATGTTCGGTGGAGTTATTGCTCCTTTATTAGTTTTACTTTTGGTTCTTCTGTTTGGGATTTTAGGTGGAAACTTCATTTTTAATTTTCTCCTATTCTCCTCGGTTGTGGAGCTGTCACTAGTCAAGAGTCGTGAATTTCTTCGAGGCGGTGCATTTGGGGGAGATGCCATAGTGGGGCTCAATACCTGAGGTGTTGCCCTTGTCGGCGGACCAGAACTTTGTGTTTTTGCAAGGACTGGAGTTACCTTTCGGCTCTTTCCCCTCTGCGAGAAGACAGACGGTGTTCCGGTTTGGCCGATTCTGGCAACAGGCTTTTTTGAAGGGGCTCCGGTGGATGGCACGTCAATGACAGACGGTGTCTCATACCAGTGCAGTTTTGTCAATAGGGTCCGTCTCCGGGACTTGGGGTTTCTAATGGCAAAATGCCAACACTTGGGGTTAATGGACTAACAGCTGCTGGTCCTCCTAATAAACTTCGACCAGTTTTTGGTTTATGTTGAACCTGTTTAGATCATATGGAAGTTCCTGTTCCCAGTGGGACAGTATCAGGTGAAAGGACAGCTGAATCGATAGAAGACACTGGGGAGTCTGTATTCAAGGAGTACTTTGAATTGGAAGATTCTAAATTCCATCCGTTTCATTCGACGGTGTCCTGGGGTGTTTCCGTAAGAACGGTCTCGGGCTGTCTGTGACATAAACTAGGACGAGGTCCAAGTGTTGTGGCGCAACACTTGGACAGGCAGTTGCTAAAGCTCTCTAGAGAGGTGAATCAAAATGTTTGGTCAGGATCTGGCTTTTCCCCCCTATTTCACATCATGATTCAAAGGGACACCAGAAGGAAAGGATTTCAACGAAGGCTCTTTTGGTCACATTCTGATCCTTTGGTAAGCCGATCTGTCTTGCAATATACATGTCCCGACGATGGAAGGGGAAAGCGAGCTGAATCACCAAACTCAGGAACGATAATATCATCGTGGCTTTTCTGCTTATGAAACACTCCACCCGATAAGATTTGATCCCCTTCTGCAAGCTTGCTGAGATCAACACAACATTTCGCAAGCAGGCATTTGCATTGCGGGGTAGTACAACTGTGTCCTTTCAAGAGTCTATATGTTTTATAGGCCTTTCCTGAGCGGTAAGAACAGGTCGCCAGTAAGAACAAGGCTTCTTCTGAGTGTACTTCTGCATAAAGGCGTTCTGCGGGGGAAACCGCATCTCGGTAGGCATAGTGGTTTAGTGCTTGCCATATAGCAGCCTGGACGGGTCCCTGCAGCACCGCCATCCTCGAGGCTCAGGCCCACTTTCTGCAGTGCCACAGGCACCCCCCCCCCCCCCATAGCGGCTCCGGCCCGGCCAGCCTCGGCTCATTTAAAGGCACCAGCCGCCGTTACCGGGGGATGGGGGAGTCCGAGACAGAATGACTTCTTTATCCTGCTGACTCTGGAAAGCCCGGCGCCTTGTGATCCATTGCAAACCGAGAGTCACCTCGTGTTTAGAACACGGATCCACTCCCAAGTTCAGTGGGGGGATGTGAGGGGTGTGGCAGGTAGGACGAAGGACTCTCTTCCTTCTGATTCGGTCTGCACAGTGGGGCCTAGGGCTGGAGCTCTCTCCGTGCGGACCGCTGACTCCCTCTACCTTGGGTTCCCTCGGCCCCACCCTGGAACGCCGGGCCTTGGCAGATTCTGGCCCTTCCTGGCCCTTCAGTCGCTGTCAGAAACCCCATCTCATGCTCGGATGCCCCGAGTGACTGTGGCTCGCACCTCTCCGGAAACATTGGAAATCTCTCCTCTACGCGCGGCCACCTGAAACCACAGGAGCTCGGGACACACGTGCTTTCGGGAGAGAATGCTGAGAGTCTCTTGCCGACTCTCTCTTGACTTGAGTTCTTCGTGGGTGCGTGGTTAAGACGTAGTGAGACCAGATGTATTAACTCAGGCCGGGTGCTGGTGGCTCACGCCTGTAACCCCAACACTTTGGGAGGCCGAGGCCGTAGGATCCCTCGAGGAATCGCCTAACCCTGGGGAGGTTGAGGTTGCAGTGAGTGAGCCATAGTTGTGTCACTGTGCTCCAGTCTGGGCGAAAGACAGAATGAGGCCCTGCCACAGGCAGGCAGGCAGGCAGGCAGGCAGAAAGACAACAGCTGTATTATGTTCTTCTCAGGGTAGGAAGCAAAAATAACAGAATACAGCACTTAATTAATTTTTTTTTTTCCCTTCGGACGGAGTTTCACTCTTGGTGCCCACGCTGGAGTGCAGTGGCACCATCTCGGCTCACCGCAACCTCCACCTCCCGCGTTCAAGCGATTCTCCTGCCTCAGCCTCCTGAGTAGCTGGGATTACAGGGAGGAGCCACCACACCCAGCTGATTTTGTATTGTTAGTAGAGACGGCATTTCTCCATGTGGGTCAGGCTGGTCTCGAACTGGCGACCCCAGTGGATCTGCCCGCCCCGGCCTCCCAAAGTGCTGGGGTGACAGGCGTGAGCCATCGTGACTGGCCGGCTACGTTTATTTATTTATTTTTTTAATTATTTTACTTTTTTTTAGTTTTCCATTTTAATCTATTTATTTATTTACATTTATTTATTTATTTATTTATTTACTTATTTATTTATTTTCGAGACAGACTCTCGCTCTGCTGCCCAGGCTGGAGTGCAGCGGCGTGATCTCGGCTCACTGCAAGCTCCGCCTCCCGGGTTCACGCCATTCTCCTGCCTCAGCCTCCCAAGTAGCTGGGACTACAGGCGCCCGCCACCGTGGCCGGCTAACTTTTTGTATTTTGAGTAGAGATGGGGTTTCACTGTGGTAGCCAGGATGGTCTCGATCTCCTGACCCCGTGATCCGTCCACCTCGGCCTCCCAAAGTGCTGGGATGACAGGCGTGAGCCACCGCCCCCGGCCTATTTATCTATTTATTAACTTTGAGTCCAGGTTATGAAACCAGTTAGTTTTTGTAATTTTTTTTTTTTTTTTTTTTTTTGAGACGAGGTTTCACCGTGTTGCCAAGGCTTGGACCGAGGGATC